>NC_000012.12:97763158-98066188 GCF_000001405.40 Homo sapiens
TGCTCTGTCCTTTTTCTTGTCGGGATTCTGAATTTGCAGGGCTTACATAAGTAGATGTTGTTAAGGCAAGAATGAGAGATGATTTGATTCGGGTATATTTGCTCAGGAAGGGAGTGCAATAGAGAATTAGCCCTGAGGGGAAGGACATCCGATATCAGTTTTTCATTTTCCAGATAATTCACTGTGCCTCTAAGCAAGTCATTTTACTTCTGTCTGCCTATGCGCCCTTCTCTAAAATGTGTGAGATAATTCCTATGCCTCCCGGAAGCAGATCAAGAGGCTAGATTATTTAAATACCAGAAAAAATAGGATAAAAAATTCTATGATTACATGCTCTTACAATACTACACAACAGCAGATTTACAAAAAGTTTGAAAGACTCAATACCTTGAAGCAGCAGGCAGCACATCCACAAGATTAAGGTAAGCGGGGCTGCTTACCTACTTATAGGCACCTGCTCTGGATCCCTGAAGTTCAACAGAAATAGCCTTTCAGAGTCTCTTCTAGAGGTACCAATATAAAATATCAGGAGGGGCTTTACTTCAGAATCTCACGAATACAAAAGAAATTGTTTAGAATGACATGAATACACATTACAAACAGACTAGAACATTATTATATGTACATAAAAAATGACAAATTCAGCCAGATGCGGTGGCTCACGCCTATAATCCCAGCACTTTGGGAGGCCAAGGTGGGCAGATCACGAGGTCAGGAGATCGAGACCATCCTGGCCAACATGGTGAAACCCCATCTCTACTAAAAATACAAAAACTAGCTGGGCGTGGTAGTGTGTGCCTGTAATCCTAGCTACTCAGGAGGCTGAGGCAGGAGAGTCACTTGAACCAGGGAGTCAGAGGTTGCAGTGAGCCGAGATCGTGCCACAGCACTCCAGCTTGGCGACAGAGCCAGGCTCCATCTCAAAAAAATAAATAAATAAATAAAAATGTAAAGTCTATGCACATGAGGTTCTAAAAAACCTCAATAAATAAACTACCAGTTTTTCCTTACTTAGAAACTGATGACAACGCTTAACTAAATGGATAAAAAAAAAAGGCTCTGTTCTCATTTACTATGGATTTGTTTTTTCTTTTGTTTTCCTTTTCTTTTCTTTTTGTTTTTCAGAGTCTCAAAGACTGGTGTCTCCAGGCTGAAGTGCAGTGGTGCGATCTTGGCTCACTGCAACCTCTGCCTCCTGGGTTCAAGCGATTCTCCTGCCTCAGCCTCCTGAGTAGCTGGGATTACAGGCACGTGCCACCACACCTGGTTAATTTTTTGTGTTTTTATTAGAGACGAGGTTTCACCATGTTGGCCAGGCTGGTCTCGAACTCCTGGCCTCAAGCGATCTACCTGCCTAGGCCTCCCAAAGTGCTGGGATTATAGATATGAGCTACTGCAGCCAGCCTTTTATGGATGCTTTATTGAGATTTTATGGATTCTTTATTGAGATTCTCCTGGTTTTGCATGTGTGTTTCTCATAACCTGTGCTGAGGCTGGTAGTTTCTTAGTTTCTTTGCATTATTCCGTATTACTTTTTGTACATGGTTTTCAGTCTCTGTTGATGTGTTGGTAGAAGGTTCATTCTAAGTGACATTTATCCATTGATAGGGAATTCAATGCCCTCCAACAGGCTCCCCAAGATGCCTATAGTCATAATGTTCTACTCCCAGACTCCTATGTCTAAGCCCCTCTGTTTTATTTGCTTTCTGTTGTGCAGTGTGGTAAGGAGACATATTTACTCATCTAGTTGGGAGCCAAGTTGAAGACAAAGACTCATTGTTTAGTACCTTCAAAATGCCATTATTCAACATAGCCCTGAAGTTGCAAACAAAAGCAAAACCAAACATCTTTATGCCTAATATTATCATACCTGTTATCATTTTCTTTATTGCCTTAATATCAATATGCCTAGGGGATCTTGACTTTCATCTGGATAATGAAATACAAAACCTGTTGCATGTGTAAGAAACTGATGAAGTAGAGGGAGGAATGGAGAGATAACTTCAGGAAGTGAAGGAGAACAAACTAAGTTGAATATCATATCTGGTTTTGCATTAGGGTTGTGGTTGTTTTCTTTTTTCTTTTCTTTTTCTGTGTGTGTGTGTGTGTGTGTGTGTGTGTGTGTGTGTGTGTGTGTGTGTGTTGAGACAGAGTCTTGCTCTGTCGCCCAGGCCTGTCGCGCCGTCTGGCTTACTGCAACCTCTGCCTACTGGGTTCAAGCCATTCTCCTGCCTCAGCCTCCTGAGTAGCTGGGATTATAGGCACCCAGATTGTGGCTGTTTTCCAGTTTCCTTCCATCTGAGGAAATACATATTTGTGATGTACCTTTGATGCAGGGAATTATTTTTGTTTACTTCTATCCCATTCCAATGATTCAACATTTTTCACAGTCATCAGGAGTTGTTTGGAATGTGAGAAAAAAGAATAAATTTCACACTTGAAATTCTGTGGAATAAGAGGGATGGATTAGCTAAGGAAGAGATCCAAATACACTCACCACATAGCTTTCAGACTGGGCTGTTATATTTCAAAGTATACACAGGTATGCTAGTATATGTTATAAATGATGAAGGGTTGGCTGGGCGCAGTGGCTCACGCCTGTAATCCCAGCACTTTGGGAGGCTGAGGTGGGCAGATCACGAGGTCAGGAGATCGAGACCATCCTGGCTAACACAGTGAAACCCTGTCTCTACTAAAAAATACAAAAAATTAGCCGGGCATGGTGGCGGGCGCCTGTATTCTCAGCTACTCGGGAGGCTGAGGCAGGAGAATGGCGTGAACCCAGGAGGCGGAGCTTGCAGTGAGCCGAGATCCAGCCACTGCACTCCAGCCTGGGCGACAGAGCGAGACTCAGTCTCAAAGAAAAAAAAAAAATGATGAAGTGTTGTCTCAATGCAAGGTAGCTGTTTTGATGTGAGAAGAAGTTAGATCTTGGCATACCCTTTGGCATTTGGATACATTAGCAGTGGACACTGAAACTTAGAAATATAGGCATGGAGCAAAATGAGTCTTCTCCTAGTCAATGTGCAATACAAGCCCATTTTACATTTGATTTGGATCAGTCTTTCTAATTTACCTGTTAGTCGGGCTCAGGATGGTTTGCCTGGCAGCATTTCCATGACATCACATCTGAGAAAATGCACCTGATGAGCTGTTGTCTGTGTACATGATGATGATACTTGTGTGCCGAGGTGAGAAAATTAGTTTTATGCTGTTTGTCGAGTGGTGAGGACAAGACAGTCCTGAAATGCAGTGAACTCATCTGTGCCACTATTGTTTCATTCTTCCCACAGGTGGGAGCCGAACTGTCTTGGGAAAAGGTGGGTTCCTTTTTTTACAATATTTTACAATATTCCACAGAGCAATGATGGGTCCTACAGAGTTTGTTGGTCGGGCTGAAACTGGAGTTTTTCCATCTGTTTGGGCACAGCATTAGCTGTAGCAGGATTCCTTTTATGCAACTGTTGTGTATGAATGGAGCAAGAATCTGCCTCAGTGCCAGGTGGTGTGGACAGGACATTGGAGGGGAGAAACAGAGCTGTCTTCAGAGTTGAATTTTGGCTCCTCTGCTTCCCAGCTATGTGAAGGACAGGTCACTTAAACTCCCGTAACTTTAGTCTCTTTGTCTCCCAAACACCGATAATAACACCCACTTTACAAAACTGTTTTGAGGATTTTTATGAGATAAAATCAGTATAGAGAGTGTTTAAAAATCGCAAATTTCCTTCCAAATATCATACTCAAATAACGTTTATTCACTCCAATAGCACACAACTATATATAAGTGTGTGTGTATATATGGGGGTACATATATACACATATATGTACATCGACACATATGTATGCATTTAGTGTTTTCCCTTGGAATATATATATACTCACAAGACACTAGTGCATTGTCAACAAAGAAGGGGAAGGGGGAGGAAATTTGCCATTCCTAAACACAATTCCTAAACACATATATACACACACTTATGTATAGTTGTGTGCTACTCAAGTGAATAAACATTATTTGAGTATAGTATCTGGTGCTTTCCCTTGGATCCAATTTTTTGCTTACCAAAAGCCAACAGTTTTTATCCAGTCTGGCTGCAGGATTAAATATCACATATTTTAAAATAAGAAAACAAATAAGGAACAGCCATTTATCCTAATTACTTTATTATAATAAAACTTTTGTTTTAAGGCAGTTAGTGAAATTTTAAGCATATAAATGCCTTACACACAATAAAAATAGGTTAGGCTTGCTACCAATAATTTCAACCTGAAAACCAAACATTTCACTTAGCCCTCATTGTACAGTATGTTCATTTAGTGAGGCTGCTTGGAAGTTATTTTTAAACTCAGCCATTTAAATCATCATGTCTAGCATACTGTCTAGAAGACGCAATGTTTCATTATCAAAAAGAAACATTATGTACTGTGGCATATGAGTCATTAAAGGAACAGCAGATATGTTGTCACTTCCAAATAATAAGGCTTGTTACCATTATTGATTATATGTCTTTATAGAACCTCTTATCTGAGAATCTCAAATAACATGATAATTGAACTATATAAAATTCCAATAATGCAGGGATTCTAACGGATTTTTGTATTCACAGTTCATGCTTTTATTTACTTAACAAAAATGTAGTGAGCATCTACTATGTGCTAGATAGAGTCCTCAGCCCTGGGAATTCAAAAATAAAGAAGACCACGACAAAGCCTTATGCAAATCAACTAGTATTTACACAAATCTAATTAGAAACTGTTTTAATGTCTGGTTTACTTTAACCTCCAGAGTAATCTCTGTACACTAAAAACCCTCCCTCTCTTGTAGAATTAAAAATAGAAGCTGTTGGGATGCGGATTTCAAAATAAAAAAGCAAAGATGATTTCTGAAAGCCACGTCATTTGTAAGAAACCAAGAGACCATTCAAAATCTTGCTATATTCTGCTTAAATATATTTTTGGTTTAAGGTAAAAATGGGAGAAATTTGGAGAAAATCCAAATTGGATTTTCGGGGAGGGGTTCTCTTAAAAGCTGTCAAGAATATTATGCTCAAAAAAACAAAGACCAACATAAGGTTTATATTTGGACTAGTGATTTAAATCATATATGTTGTCATTTATTTCAGCTCAGAGGAAAGGGAACATAGTCAAAAGACTATTAAAACATGTAATCCTTTTTTTCTGATAAATGTATAAGTAATTAGTTTTCTACTGCCAGAGAATTTCTTTAAAAGTTTTTACTCCATAAAGCTCTGAGACCCCAAAGTACTAGAAATATATGTACATACATACATACATACATATCGGGGGGTATGCATGTAACTGTGTGTATGTAGGTATTGTGTGTGTGTTTGTGTGTGTGTGTGTGTGTGTGTGTACTTCCTCAAGACTTTTGGATTTTTATCATTAATTCACAGAACTGTCAAAAGGTTGCTCTCTATGTAGGCCTAAATTAAATTAAGAAAATGTTGAAACAATGATCAATAAATAAAAACCTATTTTTAATGGATTTTGTATTGTTTTACATTTCTATTTTTAAAATGTTTCTCTGAAATGTCTATAACAATTCAAAATGATAATTTATTTTAAATTAATATATCTTGTTCATAGATACTGTACTATAGGTCTAATTTGCAATAATGAAAAGATGAAAAATGAATAGAAAAATTATACTGCCTAATGTGTCTTCATCACTAATCACACCTTCGGAATACCTACCAATAAAGATCATGAGAACAAAGTTGAGACTCTATTGTTTTTAATGGACACTTTATCAAAATTTAGTTCTAGTACCAGGGAGAAAATGAACATTCTTATAGCCATCTCGATAAATAGAAACATTTTATATATTCACTTAGGAAACATCTATTGAAGGCCCATATTATGCAGGCCCTGTTCCAAGGGATGGAAGTATCACAGCGACTAAGACATGACACACTGCCCTTTTGGGTAAACTGTTTGTCCAGGAAGACACACAAAAGCATAGCATGACCAAGACCAATGGAGCATTTGCAGCTCCATGAGACTTTGGACCAACTCTTTTTTGTTTTGTTTTCTTTTGTTTTGTTTTGAGACAGAGTCTCACTCTTTCGCCCAGGCTGGAGTGCAGTGGTGCTCTCTCTGCTCACTGCAAGCTCCGCCTCCCGGGTTCACGCCATTCTCCTGCCTCAGCCTCCCGAGTAGCTGGGACTACAGGCGCCCACCACCACTTCCGGCTAATTTTTTCTATTTTTATTAGAGATGGGGTTTCACTGTGTTAGCCAGGATGGTCTCGATCTCCTGACCTCGTGATCTGCCCACCTCGGCCTCCCAAAGTGCTGGGATTACAGGCGTGAGCCACCGCTCCCAGCCACAACTCTTACCTATCCATATGGGGAGCGCCAGAACATTCTCTTCCTGGAGTGTCTGTTCCCTTTTTTCCTGAACCAGCATTAATCCTACTTTCAATCTCAGTTTAAACAATACTTTTCTTAAGACACTTCCTCTAACCCTGCAGCCAAGTCTAGGTCTACCCGTTTGGTCTCCATAGCCCCTGTAGTTTGTTTTTTTTTTAAATCACAGTGCCTTAGAATTTTTTCTTTCCTGCTTGTACAGAAGTACCACAAAGGCAGAGTCTGTATGTCTTCCATTTCATACTGTACCCGACATCGACAGCAGAGATTCCCATAGCATTAGGCCCTGGGAGGAGAGCATTAGAAGAAATCTGCGCAATTGTGAACTTCCTGTTTCCTTGGAACTTACCCATTTTTATTGGATTCCGGACTTCACCCATAGCTTGCTCAGCTCCTTGTCTACTCATCTCCTGTCATCTAGAAACTGGTACTAAACTGCTAGCCTGTGGGGTGTACCTGAATTAGTTCTCTTGACCTCAAAGGGGCACCTGGAGTCTAAACGAATCTTCTCAGTTTGGAACAGAGACTCTCGAATGGTTGGCCTCCCAGTTGCTTCCCCATATGTGTATCACACTATCCCCCAGAGTCCTATGTTGAATTTTAGTTGAAGGCTTTCTGGTCAGAATTGATGTTTTGTCAAGTTACAGCGCTGACAGCAGGCCTGGCAAGCACAGATCTACAAAGAGACACCCCACATCAAAGGCTTTGTGTTTGGAATTTTGTTTCTTTTAATATTTAGGTTTAAATATTGATGAAATTTGTATCTGTACAAATTAGATGAGAAAACAAGGAGAGAAAAGGGCTTCCTAGATCCCATGAGAAAAATCAAGTAAGAGAATGTGTTTCCTTCCACAACAGGACACATTTTACATTTCTGCCCTCATAAATATTAAAATTTGAAGTCTAGCCTCAGTTATTTCTGAACAAGGATAACCAGATTTTTACAATGGGGAGAAAAGACTACATTGGCAATGCAACCAGATTTCTCGGTCTACTGGAAAAATACCAAAAATATGATAATTTTACCAAAATGAAACAACCAGGACAAGGCCTTTAGGAAGTGCACACACTAGCTCTGTAACACTGTGTTTGTACACTGAGATATAGTAAACACGATTTATAATATAAGTTCCTTTTACTTGCTATTGATAATTTTTCAAAGTATCTATGAAGTATACATTTCAAGGTATATATTATAATTCCGGCTCTCAAAGGATTAAAGGGGTTCTTTCCTGAGGAAGGGACTTTTCTGCCCAGTTTTCCCTTACAGCTAGGTTTGGGCCAATGTTGCTCAAAGAACAAAATTAATTAATGTGGAAAGTTAGACCGCAGCTTAAAGTATTTCTTATTCGAGTCCTTGAGAGTTACATGAGATTAAAGAGATAATTTGATATCTGAAATAAGTTAATTTGCTGACTCTTACAGTTATTTAAAATATGTTTTCTTGTTACCTTTCTTTGAATCAATGAGATAGTAAATATTTAAGAAGAAACATGATATAATTGTCTTCAAATATCTAATGAGAACACAACCAGCTGTTTTTATCTCAACTCCATAGAAAACAAATAAGAGAATGCATACTTACCCTGAGATAAGGCAGTGAAAAAGAAAAGATATTCTCAGGAGTGATTGATATACTAGGAACAGTAATAATAATAATTTTAAAAACCTAGAAATCATTTTTGTTGTTGTTTTGATTATCACTATATACTTTTTTCAGATCACAAATGTTGCATAGTTTTATAAAATTACATGTTGTGGAACTAATACCATGAAAAGTGAATATCACTCCAAAAGATAACTACTCTCAAAGCCTGGGTAGTTCTGCAACTTAATTATATATATATTAATTATCTTAAATGTCTTTTTATATTGATAATATTTCTTTTTTCTCCATTTTCATTTCTCAATTTTTCCTTTTTTAATTGTGGTATATTAGTAGTCCATTATAATAATGTTCTTACATTTTTTAAAACATTTTCCTAGTGATAATTTTTTTAATTATTTCTATTTGTGTGTTAATACAAACAATACTGCAATGGATATTTTTGTATGCATTTATGTGTATAAATTCTGGGAGTATTTCTGTAGGAAAAAGTTTCTTAAATGCTTGATCTCTTTAAAAAATTATCAGTTACTCTACTACTGCTTTCTGAAAGTGTATGCCTGTTTCCACACACCCTTGCAAGTATGGTATTGTCAATTTTTATAAAGATTCTACTAATTATAAGAATGAAACATCTTGTTTTTGGCTTCATTTGTATTTCTTTGCTTATTAGAGATGTTGAGTAATTTGCAAATAATTTTTTGTTTTTTATCAAAAACACTTGTCCTTTTTCTGTCTTTTCTGTCTCTGTTTTTTTTTTTTTTTTTGGTTTGTTCATTTTTTCTCCTATTGATTTATAGGAGTCCTTTATATATGTAGCCAAAACCCTCTTCCATTAAATATTTTGTAATGTTTTCTAACAGTATCACATGTATTTTAACTTCAGTCAATTATGCTACTTAAAGTTTACTTGCTCAAAGTCAATGGAACACCAAAGTGTGTACTCAGACTTCTTTTATCTTTTTGGCTACTAACAGACATATTCATGTTATTTTAAGTCTGAGGGTGGAATTAATATATTTTCAGGCATGAATTCACTCCAAAACAATTTCACCTCAGCTGGGCGTGGTGGTTTGCGCCTGTAATCCCAGCACTTTGGGAGGCCGAGGTGGGTGGATCACGAGGTCAGGAGATCAAGACCATCCTGGCCAACATGGTGAAATTCCGTCTCTATTAAAAATACAAAAATTAGCTGGGCATGGTGCCACACACCTGTAGTCCCAGCTACTCAGGAGACTAAGGCAGGAGAATCACTTGAACCCAGGAGGCAGAGGCTGCAGTGAGCTGAGATTGCACCAATGCACTCCAGCCTAGGTGACAGAGCAAGACTCTTGTCTCGCAAAAAAAAAAGAAAAAGAAAAGAAAAAAAAAGAAAAAGAAGAAAAAAATTACCTTTAAGTCCCCTACTTTTAGGAAGCTACCAGAAAATATTCTCCAAATATTGCAATAGGAAATCTTCCCTGACCCCTTTGCTGGCCTCACAACAGGAGTACCTTGCTTACTCATCCTGCAGCTCTCAACCCCTTGCAGGAGGGGGAGCATGCAGATGAGCAGGTGCAGGAGCCAGGATGAGTGCATCTGGGTGCTAGCAGGAGCAAAACTCTATCAGGCCCCACAGTAGTGTTTAGTGGGGGAGTACCCACAGCCCCCAAAGCCCCAGAGGGCATGTGTTACAGTGCACTCTTTTAGCTTTGCTGTACATGGATGGCTTAAGTGTTAGGCAACTCTGTGGGCCCTCTGTTTTTTTGCATGAGGTGATTACTCTCCACCAGCAAGGGCTGGTGTGACAAGCCTTTAGCATCTGCACTTGTGGCACCTGTGCTCTTGTTCAGTGTCCAGGAAAATTCAGGTCACACAAAAGAATTGAAGCGTGGTGAATGCAGAGGATTTTACTGGCAATGGAAGTGGCTCTCAGTGGGAAGGGGAGCTGGAAAGGGGATGCAGTGGGAAGGTATTCTTCCCCTAAAGTGTTGCAGTCAAGCCATCCCTCTGAAGTCGAGCTGCTTCTCTCTGACATTCAGCTGCTTCTTCTCTTCTAGCCTTCTCTGCTCTCTGCCAGTGAAGCATGTGGTTTTTATGGGTACAGGATGGGGGCGCAGAGTGGGCCATGGGTGGTTTTGAAAAAGGCAACATTCAAGTGGGAAAACAGGAATGCATGTTCTCACTTTGGGCCACAGTTCCAGGCTTGAGGGTGGGGCTTCAACAGGGACCCTGCCCTTTTCTGCCTAGAATTTCCCTGCCTCCTGTCCCTATGAACTTGAATAAGTAAACAAGTAAAATATGTGGAATCCAAGCCAAAATGAGTTCAACATAGAAGAGGTGTGATGAGCACTCCTAAGATGATGAGTGTCTGTGGGAAAACCAACTCAAACTGTTTTTTCCTTGGCTCTCACACCACAACAATCAATGCAGAAGACTTCTGTGACCAAATGTGGGAGGGTTTCTTCCCACACCACCAAGCAAGCAATCAATTTTGTAGGGGACAACATCTGGGTATCCCTCAATTCAATTCAATCCTGATGCTATCTACCTGGAGATAGCTTCAGAAACCACAGGCTGAGGGCTCAGTCACATAAGGCCACCCTCTCCTTCCCATCAGACCTGCCATGGCCTTTCCAGGGACCAGCCTCATCCCAAAGCTACCTAGGGGCTGCCAACCATCATCAACTCACTGGGATACAAAGACATCATTTTGAAGTTTCCACAGATTTTAGGAGTTGTTTACCAGGAAACAGAATCAAAGACCAAATATATATTTCACAGTGTCACAGTAAGGAATGGAATTACCAAAATAAGGGTAGGCAGCAATTCTAATGGTCAACTGATCCATACTGTGGTACATAGAGGCCTAGGAGAAGAATTTCCAAGGCAAAAAAAAAAAAAAAACACTAATAGATTACCTGAAGTATTTTACCATATAGAAGAGAATTTTACATTTCTTATCAGAGTTTGGGGAAAGAATTTGTGATAATTACTTTTCAAAATTAAACAAGCAAAACGAAACAATTTTTAACAGAGCCATACAGTAAAGGTAAACATACAACAAAGCCAAAGTTGTATTTTTGTAAATATTAATGAAATTTATAATCCCCCCAACAAGACTAATTAAGGGGAAAGAAAACTAAAAAACAAATTGTCAGCAATGAAATAGGAAGTATCTGTCTACATATACCCAGATTAAAAAGAAAATAAAATAATTAACAAAATTTTAAAAATAAAAATTGAAATTTAAATGTAATGTACAAATTCCTTAGAAAATACAACTACCAAAATGGATAAAAGAGAAATTTTAAACATTCCAATAGCTATTGAATAAATTGAACCCATCATTAAAGCTTTTACCACAGAAAAACTAAATAAACCAAAAACTGGTTCAGATAGCTTCACCAATTAATTATTTCAAACAAGTAAGGAAAAATAACAACAATCTTATTAAAAACTCTTCTATTCAGAGAACAGCATAAAGAAAAAAACTTCTCAAGTCAGTTTATGAGGCCAGCATAACCTTGATACAGGAAAGGAGCAGACAATGCCAGCCCACTATGTCTATGAATATCAGTGAAAAAATGGTAAACAAATATTTGCAAATTAAATCTAGTAATAGATAAAAAGGAAACTGCATCATGACCAAGAGGTACTTATTTCAGATATGCAAGAGGTGTTTAAAATTCAAAAACTAATTAGTATAATTGACCACATTAACAGGAAAAGGAGAGAATATATATGATTGTGTCAGTAGACACAAACAAAGCATTCTACATAACTCAACATTAATCAGTTATTACCAAATTAGGAATAAAAGGGTACTATCAAGCCCATCACCCAACCCTCCCCTTTGGGTTGCCCTCAGGACAACCCTCCAGAGAACTGCCAATCAGTATGGGAATCTAGGCCACTGGAAGGCAAACTGCCCCAATGGGCTAAATGGGAAAAAGTCTCAAGAGACCTGCCCCTTCTATTGGAGCTTGCTATTAGAAAAAGGACTGTCCCAAGAGCCAAAAAGTCCCCCAGGCCAAACTCCAATCCAATAAAGGCCTTGAGCTGAAGGGGCCCTCCACTCCAGCCAGCTCCCAGATGAGATATCATCATCAACAAGACAAAGCCAAGGGCAACTCTGGAGACTGTGAGTAAAATTATAAATTATAAATTTTAAATTATAAATTTCCCTTTTGGGTTCAAGAGCTGCATACTCTGTGCTAATGTTCTCTGAGCAACTCTCCTTCAAATCCTGTAATGGGGGCAAAAGTCTGATAAATAGTATCTATAGCACATCATCACTAAACATGGTATTTAATGAATTATTGAAAATTTTTCCCTGATAACTGAAAAAAGACAAGAATATCATTTCTTTTCAACATGTATTAGATGTCTTAGCTGATAAGACAAGGCAAGAAAGAGCAATGACATGCATAAGAATTGAAAAGAAAAATAAAATTATATAATATTTGCAGGTGATATAATTATATATATGGAGAAAAACCTTAAGAATCTATAGATAAGCCACTGGAATTTAAAAAGTAAACTTAGCAAGGTCACTGGATGCGAGAAAATCAATTATACAAGACTCCTATTCTGAAAATGACAAAACAAAGTTGAGAGAAACTTTTAAAGACCACAGAAATGGAAATATATATACTACATTCATCATAAATGGGATGACTCAGTATTTTAAAGATATCAATTCTCAGATCAATCTGTCAAATCAGTTAATGTCAAGTGAAATGCAGGAAGGTATTTGTGTGTGTGTGAAAGTTGACAAGCTGATCTTAAAATTTTTATAGAAATGCAGAGTTAAGAATAGCCAAAGCAATCTTGAAGAGGAAAAACACAGGAGAGAATTTACATTAGCTGAAATTATGCCTTCCCCTGAAGTTATACTAATTAATATAGTGTAGATTGGTGAAAGGATACTGATAGAGAGGAGAATCCAAAAACAGACCAGCAAAGATAAGGTCATTTGATTAATGAGAAGGTTAACACCATAATGCAGTGGAGACAGGATGATTTTTTTAGCAACTGAGGCTGGATCAATTGAATATCCACATGGAAAAAAAATGAATCTTTACCCTATTTCATACCATGCACACAAAAGCAGTTCTAGATGGAGTATAGATCTAAGTGTGAGAGGTAAGATGAAGCTTTTAAAATAAAACATAGGAGAACATCTTTCATGACCTTGAAATCAGCAAAAGGTAGGACACAAAATGCAACTAATCTAAACTTATATTTGCCAAAGGACATCATGAAGACAGTAAAAAGGCAAGGCCAGAGTGGAAGAATGTATTTGCAATTCATAAACCCAATTAAGAACTAGCACCAAAAATGTGTAAATGAGTCCCTCAAATCCATAAGAAAAGGCAGAAGTTCTGCACTTTTTACTTTCAACCATCCTGGTTTGTTCCTTTTTGCATTTTTTCTTCCTGAGCATTTATTTCATAGGATTTTACTGTTTAGTTTTTTCCTTTCTGTTGGTACTGGTGGGTTTGGGGAGGCCCCCAAAAGCCGGTGGGACCTCCACCCCAGCCAGTGTCCAGGTTCTTGGCAGCATCGCAAGAAGGAATTCAAGGATGAGTCAGAAAATAGTGAAAGAGATTTATTGTAAAGTGGGCAGACATCTTGCAGTCATGTGCAAGATGGTTGGGGGTTGCTACTTTTACATGCTTCTTTAACCGAAGCGTGGAATATTCACGGAAAAAGTTGGAGATTTCTCAGAATTGTGGTGCTACCCATTTTTACACTAACTACAGGTGTTCTTGGAACTGTCATGGCACCAATGGGTGTGGGATTTGTATGTTAATGAGCATATAATAAGGTCCTAGGTGAAACCTAGGTCAAATCCAGCAACATGTTGGGTCCAGTTGATCTTAGCCAGCTTGATCCACACTCAGTTTTTCAGGGTCTTGTTAAAGTAGGTAACTAGACCGACATAAGCAGGGCAGAAGAGCACCCCCGCCCACCTTAGGAATGTCAGGTGACCATCGGCTTATGGTCAGGTGATTGTCAAACTGTCTCTCTAAAATAATAATTGCTCACAGCTGGTGCCAGGGAAAGGCAGTCTCCCAAATAGATAAAACACCTGAAGCTGGCGATGAGCAGCTTCCTGATAAGGTCTCAGGAGTTGGGTGAGTGGGCTCAAGCATGTACACTAAGAGGCAAAATGGCAGAGTTTAACTGGTGTATGACCTTCCTCTAGGAACTCTTGGCTAATAAGGGAAAAACACCTCATGTGAGCATGTGCGTGACTTCAGTAAACACCTTGTGCATGCCGCCCCTCCCAAGTGCTGTCGGGCCACTGCACATGTGAACAGCTCACCCCAAGGAAGAATCAAGCTATGAGAGATACAAAACCCCAAAAGCATGCCAACATATAAAACCCCAAGTCAAAGGTCAAACTGGACCCTTGGATCTCTCAAGTCACCTACTTAACCCTCTTCCAAGAGTACTTGACTTCCTTTCATTCCTGCTCTAAAACTTTCTAATAAACTTTCACTCCTGCTCTAAAACTTGCCTCAGTCTCTCACTCTGCCTTATGCCCCTGAGACAAATTATTTCCTCTGAGGAGGCAATAATTGAGTTGTTGAAGACCCGCATGGATTCGCTGCTGTTAACATCATTAGACCACAGCTGCTAGTCATGTGAAACTGCTGTCTGGAATTCTTTATTCTCCTGTGACCACCCTGGATTATTCCGGTCTCACTTTTCCTTCTTTCTTTCTCTCTTTCTCTCTTCCTCTCTTTCTCTCTTCTTTCTTCTCTTTCTTTCTTTTTCTTCTTCCATTTTCTTCTTTCTTTTCCTCCTTCCTTCCTTCTTTTCCTCCCTTTCATCCTCTCTCCATCTCGACTTGTTTTCTTCCTTCCTTCTTTTTTCTTTTCCTTTCTTTCCACTGCCTGGGTTCAAATCTCAGCTTTGGCACTTACTAGCCATTCAACTTCAGAAAATTTTATTTTTTGTTAAAAGAAAAACCTTCAACAAATTAAATTTAATAGAGGTAAACTGAGCAAAGGTTGAGGCACAAATTGAGCAGCCCCCAGTATCCCAGCAGATTCAAAGAGAACCAGCACAGCTGCATAGTGGAAGATGTATGGACAGAAAAAGGGAAGTAACATATAGAAAACAGAAGTGAGGCACAGAAACAGCTGGATTAGTTGTAGCTCAGCGTTTGCCTTATTTGAACCCAGTTTGAACAGTTGGCCACGTTTGATTGGTCAAAACTCAGTGATTGGCACAAGTGTAGATTACAGTCTGTTTACATAGCCAATTAGGCTACAGTTCACTGTGCACAGAGAAACTTTTAGGCTGAACTTAGAATACGTAAGGAAGCAGCTTTAGGCTAAACTTGTTAACACCTTTTATGCCCTCATTTTGTCCCTGTTGCCTTTCTTGGAAATTGAGGATTATGTATGTCCCTCAAAGGGGCATGATTAGAATTAAATGTGTTCAACAATTGTGCTGTATTTCTGTCGATGTAAAAACCCCAGATATACTAGTAAATAGAGTTCAGCAGTATAATAAACAAGTAATTTCCTATGAAGTAGGGTTTGCTCCCAAAATTCAGGGATACTTCCTTATTAGAAATTTAGGTCTATAATGTGGATACAATCACTATAATTTGGGCATTATAATAGTACTTACCTAATTGAGTTCTTGTAAAGATTAAATGAGATATTTTATGTGATGACAAATAGTAACTTTTGATATATTTTAGCTTTTTGTTCATAACATTATTATATCATAGATAACATATGAACATCCAGAGAATGGTGATATTTTGATAAAACACAAGAATTCTTGTTGAATTGAATGTAGGAATTATAATAATTCAGGTAGAGAAAAATTTAATAAGATAAAAAATAGTTGCACAGGGATAGCCGTCAATATCATATTCAACGATGAGACATTAGCCAGACTATCATTAATCCCAACGATACTTGTTGTGATAGCTGTAATTTAACATTATTCTAGGAACTGTTGCTAATTTAATAAGTCAAGAAATGCGTATAAGATAAAAATAGCTGAAAAGAGTGAAACAATTCATTTTTTGCCTGTGATACATTTTTACACCAAAAAAGTCAACTAGTAAGTAAATTTAATAAGTTCGTTGCTGATAAAATAAATAGACAAATCAATAGTTTTTCCTAACTTTCAGCAATGGCCAGTTTGAAATTAGAATACAGTAAGAGTTCTCTATGGAGCAAGGAAAAACCCTAGCAATGAACTGAACAAGCAATGTGCATGGCCTGTGAGAAACAAAGGACACATTGCAATTGAGATTAAAAAAGAAGATTTAAATAGATGAAGAAAAATATTATCTGCCTTCAGAGGAATAAGGTACCTTATGAAGATGTTAGTTTTATGCAAATAACTCAATAACTTTAATAAAATTCTAACAAAATTTCTGAGGAACGTAACAAATAAAATTATAATTAAAAGAATATGATATTATTGCGTGGGGAAATTTTCCAAATACGATATGAAGTGAGGAAAGTAAGATGGAAAATTACATGCTTATGTCATTCCATTTTATAAATTAAAATCTAGGGGCAATAATTATAAAATATCTGGAAAAAATACTCCCAAACTGACTGGTGCGGTGGCTCATGTCTGTAATCCCAGCATTTTGGGAGGCTGAGGTGGGCAGATCAGGCCAGGAGTTAGGGACCAGCCTGGGCAACACAGCAAGACCCTGTCTCTGCTAAAAATACAAAAATTAGCCGGGTGTGATGGCACGCACCTGTAATCCCAGCTACTTGGGAGGCTGAGGTGAAAGAATCACTTGAACCCTGGAGGCGGAGGTTGCAGTGAGCCGAGATTGAGCCACTGCACTCTATCTTGGATGACAAAGTGAGACTCTGTCTTGAAAAAAGAAAAATATATACTCCCAAATTATGGGATAGTAAGGACTGGGATTCCTGGTACTAATTTTCTGTATTTTTTTCAATTTTACACAATGAGAATGTATTACTTTCTGTATTTTTTAAAAAGGTATGCCACAGAAGTAAATCTAGTAATTTTATCAGTGTGAAATAGGCACACTGTTGATGATGACATTGACATTGTTTTCTGTCAATCACACTTGGGCCCAGCAAAAACATCATTATCCACAGTTTTTTGTGCAATGGATAATATATTTAATAATTAACTCTCCACAGTATGTGGAAATTATGTTTTGATACTACATTTTAATTCACATAATAGATTTCAGTAATGTATTTCAGCACCCACTATAATTAGTTGATGGGGTTATATTCATAAAGACCTGGTCCAACATAGAATTGTGTTCCCTTTAAGACCTTTTCCATTTGAATTTATCCACTCTGCTGTGCCTGGATCAATCACACACTCATACACACACACACAGACATATATACAGACACCTTTTTATTCAGATGATCATCATTTGTGGCTTTCAGAGAGTGCTTTTCATTTTAATTTTTATTTCTACCTTGTAGAAAAATGTCAAAAGATTGAAAGTCAGGTGAGGTTTAGAAATATTGGCAGTGAGGTGAGGTTTAGAAATTTAAGAAATTAAATGAAAAGAAATGCACTTTTACATATTCTAATATATGTTTTATTTATATAGATATATTATGATACTCTTACAGAGAATCTATCAAAACCTTTTCACAATACAAAAAATGATGCTAATTACTATCACGGGTTTCAATGAGTGCTTTATTTCATAATGCAAAGCATTAAGGTTTACAGTCTTTTGATAGAAAAAGGTGGAAAAATCCATGTTGGTAATTTATGCAAAAGCTTCCTTTATATTTGTCATAATAAAATATTCATATTTGGAAGCCAAGTAAACATCTTAAGATATTTTAATAAAGCTTGTTTCTCTGTTAGTTCTCGATCTCCATGTTACGCTTTCATATATAGTATTATAGGAATTTTACAATAGTTTAGTGAGTTTGATGTTATTATTGCAATATTACAGAAAAAGAAATTTTAATGCAAAGATATTAAGTAATTTGCCAAGCAACAAAGAAAATAGTAGAAGGATCTAGCCTCAATGCCTGCTCATTATAATACACAGTACTTTTGTTTTCCATCATATAAGACATTCGTATCTGGATATTTCCTCTGAATTTTTCAATATTTCTTCCAAAGTTATCAGTGTGTTAGTTATCTCGACACTTCCAGGCACTTACATTCAACAAACAAGAATGTCACATAATTTATATCCCTGGGAAGGGAAAGTTGATTTTTCTCCTTTGCAAGTGAAACCTGGGGATTGTCTCTTTGGATCCTAGTGCTCTTAAAATAAGACAGTCACATCCAAGCTCTTTGCCTTGCTTGCAATGCCCTGTATGACCAGGCCCTGAGCTAGCTTGTTCAACCTTCATTTGTGCTGCCTGCCTGCTCCTCACTCTCCACTCTTCAGTCACGTGGTCTTCTGCTGATTCTCAGAACACCACAAGCTCTTGTCTGCCTCAGGAATATCTTACTTGGTGTTCCTTGGATATGGTTTGGTTCTGTGTCTCCACCCAAATCTCAACTCGAATTGTACTCGCATAATTCCCACGTGTTGTGGGAGGGACCTGGTGGGAGATAATTGAATCACGGTTGCAGTTTTCCCCATGCTGTTCTCGTGGTAGTGAATAAGTCTCAAGAGATCTGATGGTTTTATCAGGAGTTTCCACTTTTTCGTCTTCCTCATTCTCTCTTTGCCTGCTGCCATCCATGTAAGATGGGACTTGCTGCTCCTTGCCTTCTGCCATAATTGTGAGGCTTCCCCAGCCACGTGGAACTGTAAGTCCAATTAAACCTCTTTCTTTTGTAAATTGCCCAGTCTCGGGTATGTCTTTATCAGCAGCATGAAATCATACTAATACATCCCTCCACCTGGCTTATTCCTCAGCAACCAGCTTCTCATGCTTCAAGTCTCATCTTAACTGCTATAACTGGCCAGGCGCAGTGGCTGACACCTGTAATGCTAGCACTTTGGGAGGCCAAGACAGGAAGATTGCTTGAGCTCTGGAGTTTGAGACTAGCCTAGGCAACATATCAAGTCCCTGTCTCTACCAAAAGTAAAAATAAAAAGTTAGCCAGGCATGGGTGGTGGTATGCCTGTGGTCCCAGCTACTCAGGAGGCTGAGGTGAGAGGATTGCTTGAGCCCAGGAAGTCGCGGCTGTAGTGAGCCATGATTGCATCACTGCACTCCAGAGTGGGCCACAGAGTGAGACCTTGTCTCAATAAAAAAATAAACAAAAATTAAAAATTAACTGCCATAACTTAGAGGCCTTCCTTAAGCTCTAAATCTAAGTAGGACCCAGCCTTTCATTCTTTCCCAAGTCACTCTGTTTATTTCCTTTCTCAAATATAATGCAACCAGCAATACTTTTATGCCTTTGTTTACTCATTTGCTGTCTCTCTTCCACTACTAGAACTTATGCTCAATAGGAGTAGGGAATTGCCAACTCACTCATCATGGTAAACCATGTTCCAGGCACATTATTTGGACCACAGTGAGCCCTCACTAAAAACTGAGGGAATGAATACTTTTTTTTGCATGATAAACACATGAAGGCTGGACAGAAAACTTCAGACACCCATTCTGTCACATAGTCCTAATTTCTCTTGCGAGTTTCAGTAATACAGAAGGCAAATCACGAGCCTTGAGATAAGGTAGTATTCCATTGTCCTCTAAAACCAGGCTTATGAACACAGACTCATGAAATATTCAAAGAAAAACAAAATTGTGGTCAATCTCATTCACCAGGAAATCTGATGTTCATTCAATTGCTATAATTATAGTGAATGCCACTTTTAAAAAGATACCTTGCTTAAAAGGATATTATTAACATTCATATAATGATTTTGTTTCTTTTTCTTTTCAGAGTTTCTGGAAGCCTGTGGTTAGGAAATCTTTCAGTTTTCTAATTAGTTTTGTTTTTTGTTTATTATTGGTTTGTTTGCTTTTTCTGAAGAATTAATTACATTTCAGAGTACTTAAGGCAGACAGTACACAATCTCTTGTATCTTACTCTAAATTTAACTTTGCAATCATGAGTCTTTGTTACCCTATGCTAACTACTTCTGCTTTGAGTTGTTTCAAATTTTGATTTACACTATGGATAAAAATCCAGCTACCAGACTATGTAAACTCTTTAAGAAAGAAAATACAACATGTTGGAAGTTTAGTACTTTATTCTCAGCAGCAGGCATTTATCCTGCTCCTACTATATGCACAGTTCTAGCAAAGAGCAAAAATAATGCAAATGGCTGTAGGGAAATAATGTCTGGTATATCCTGCTATTTTTTAATAGGCATCTTCAAAGAGATAACCCCCAAAGAAGAGCTTATCTAATTTGAATTGAAAACATAAAGGGGTTTCTTATAAATGGACTGACTTGCCTTGAAGTGGATATGCCAGGATTAATTATTAAAATAACCTTTTATTTATGAAATTTTCTAAGTTACATTACTCCAAAGCAAATGGAAGGAAGAAATAAAATTAGCCAGGCAGCGTGCCACAATTAAAAAACAAAAACCCTCAAATCCACTAAATTGCATGCAGCATCTTTCCTTTACATCATTATTTAGAAAACTGGGACTAGGACTTTGTTCATAGGCCAGCAGTAAATACATAGGCTATGACGTCAAAGAACTTTAAAGCAAGCTCGATACAATAAGACTCATTATTCTTTGAGGCACAATGTTATTGGCGTATGGCATGTTCATTCCATGACTTCTTGAGTCAGTGGATTACATTTCTCAAAATGATTCCTTTTTTTTAATGCCTAAGCAAGTGTGCATTTTAATTTACTGCAGGTCTGAGAAAGTTTGTGTGGAGTGACATGTCTTTAAGTAAATATAAATTTATCTTCGGTGACAAGCTAATACACATCACACCAGAGAATTTGGTATGGATTGATTTCTGTTTGTGGGAGAGAATAATACTGGCATGTTTATTCTTCTATAAAGTTCATGGGGAAAGGGGATAAAGAAAAGATGGATTTTTCGAGTGGTCCTAATTACAAACAGATTACAACATTGATATTGTATGACAGTAATGGAGAAGAATATGCTTCGATTATGCAATGACAAAGAATGGTGGATTAGGGACCACTGAGCTGGTGAATAAGTTGGAGGCAAGAGTAATTTGCAGGAAGATCACTTAAAGTCGAGTTTTCCTAGGCTAGGAACAGCCTGAAATTAGGGCAATCATCTGAATAATTCTCTGCCTGACTCAGGACTGGGGGTTGATCAGAATCAGCAAATCATCTCAGTGGGAACAGAATGGAAGCATATTTGCTCCATAGGGAATATATACTTCTGCAAGACAATAACAGCTGGAAAGTCCCATTTTTGGTCTTAGGAAATACATAAAACATATAGAAACATCATTTCTCTATTCATCTTTGAACCAGGTCATCAACAAACATATGGTTTTTATCTTTTGTCTATTCTATACACAATGTTGTAAAAATTCAAAATGAATATAATCAAAGAGCATCCAGCATAAAAGTGTGATTATAGGGAGAAGGTAAGAAGATAGCACAAACAAATGCACGTTTTTCAAACAAATGCACGTTTTTCAAACAAATGCACGTTTTTCCATATTTCGTTTCTGATGTTTGGATATCATGCATTTGTTTTCCCTGTAGAGATATTAAGCTGCCAAATGAGAGTATGGGGGAAGTCTACATAAAACATATCTCTCTTTTTATTACATTTTAAAAGGCTGTCTGTTTTTCTATTTTGAAATTACTTATTACCTAAGTTATGCCAAATCTTTTCATTGCCCCTCAAATGGTCCAAATATAATCCTATAAAGTGCAGACAGATACAATTTAATGCCCCAGATTTCTACTTCAATTTATTTTTTAAAATTGCTTATATTTAATTCTTCTTATTAAGCCCATGACTACTCAGTAATCCATTTATCACCTGCATTGGGCTCACACTGGGGGCTCAGCATTTGACCCAGATTCCTGTTTTGTTTTTGTTTGCCTGAATGTGTTATGGCCAAACCTAAATTAGCAAAACAAAAGATTAAACTTAGGGACAAAATTTCAAATTCTTAACTTCACAGGAAGTCTTTGTCTGTCCCCCTAAGAAAGTAAATAAATGAAGACATAAGCTAGGAAGACATGTTAAAATGAAATGATGGCTGCATTTAAGAATCAAGGTCAGCTCTTGGTTTACAGTGACAATGTGCACATATATGTACATATTGTTTCCACAGTCCTCTTCCTGGGGGAGATTTATGGCCTCTGATGGCTGTTCTGAATTAAGCAAATTGTCTGAACACATCAAATATTAAAAAATTCAATATCCACAATTTTTCATGGATCATAAATGTGCTAAAGTTAATTCTCCCAAGCTCAATGATTATATTTTAGCAGATCTATGTATGTGAAAACTTCCATAATAGAAAAAAATAAATCATTTCATAATTTTACCCTATGATAAGGTAATGATAATGATATGTCCTAATATTTGTTGCACTGATCATGTGGCTGGCCATTTTATATTCATTATCTCGTCTGATTTTCTTAACTACCCTATGAAGTGGGTTGAATGAATAGGACTTTGGGATATAATCATGAGCATCTTTATTTGTCTCCCCATGTTCCCTTAAAATTTGTACAGTGTCTTAGTCCATTTGTGCTGCTATAAAAATACTTGAAACAGGGTAATTTATAAACAACAGATTTTTTTTTGTCATAGTTCTGGAGGCTGGGAAGTCCAAGTTCAAGACCCCAGCAGGTTTGGTGTCTGATAAGAGTTGCTTTCTGTTTCCAAGATGTGACTTGTTGCTGCATCCTTTGAGAGGATAACTGCTGTGTTCTCACATGGCAGAAGGATGGAAGGGCACAAGGGCGTAGCTAACCTCCTCCAGCCCTTTTATGACTCTCATCCATGAGAGCAGAGCCCTTATGACCTAATCACCTCCTAAAAACCCACCTCTTAATATTGTTAATTGGGGATTAAGTTTTAATATAAATTTTGGAGAGGTTGAAACATTCAAACTGTAGCATAGTGAGAAAGTTCTTAGGACTCTTCATGGAAATGTAATCAGGCCCCATATTTTCTTCTGACTTCTCTTAAGGAAGCACAACTCCTACAGTCACTTTAAGCCACAAAATATAACCTCAATTTTAGTATCTAGTTTATGAGGAATATTTGAAGTAAAAACTACTTTCTTCTGAGTCCAAAAAATCTCATAATTCACATGTAGCATTCCAACCCAGAGCTACTTGCCCATCTGGTCATTCTTATAGGATAGGATCCGAGTAAACCACCATGCCTGAAAACACTCATAACTTATAAAAAGTAGCTTAGATCCAATATTTATTAGATGCAAAAAGTATATTTATAAGGTAAGCTAAGGTATAATGACTAACAGGACAAAAAGCTCCTATGTATACAACATTAGTGTAAGAAATAGAACATTCTGTGTGCCCTTCCTAGTGCCATTATGGTAATGCATCTTTGTGATGGGTATCTGTACTTCATCCATTATCTCTATATTTTATTGTATGAACTTATTATAATTTCTCTATTTTACTACTACTGGACATTGTACTGTTAAATTGCATTTTCATGATTATTGATGAGATTGAGCATCTTTTCACATCTTTATATTTCATTCTTATTACCTCCTCCTCTGTCTTTTGTGTATTTTTTTTTTATCAGATTGATTTTTGGTTCTTTCTCCCTCTTTCGCTGTGTGTGTGTGTGTGTGTGTGTGTGTGTGTGTGTGTGTGTGTATTTCCTGGTCCTTAACCCTTTCACAATTATGGCTATTGATATTTTATGTCAATGCATAGCTTATCTTTTTATTTTGCTTATGATTATTTTTAATAAAGAGGTCTTAAACCTAATGCAATCAAATGTATCAATAATTTTCTTTCTGCTTTGCATTTTTTGCTTTGTTTAACAATTCTTCTTTATCCCAAGATTGTAAATATATTTTCTTATATTGTCTTCTAAAAGTTTGATAATTTTGCCTTTCATATTTAAGTCTATAATCCAACTGCAATTGATTTTTGTGTATGGTGTGATATAAAAGCTCAGTGTCATTTTATCCATATGAATGACTCTCCCAAAACCATTTATTGCAAGATCCATCCTTTCCTCACTGTTCTGTAAAGCCAGATCTATCATTAGATTTCCACATATTTGTGAGTCAGCTTGGGGAGTTCTATATTCTGCTCCATTGATCAATTTGTCTGTCCTTGCAATAATGATACATTATCATAATTACCATAGCTTAAAAATAAGTTTAGACAATTTGTATGCCATTCAGCCACAAAGAGTTTCTCCTTCAGGAATATTTTGGACATTCCTGGATGTTTGCTTTTTCATCTTAATTTTAGAACCAATGTATCACAGTTCCCACATACACAGAATGAAACTAAACAAAATAAAACACCCTGTCAGGACGGTGATTGTGATTATTTTAAATCCATAGATTCCATGATGCAATCTATCCATTTTATTATTAATTAATAGTAAAATTATTAATATTATTATGGAATTATTAATTCCATGATTAAATCATGGGATCTGTGGATTTAAGATAACTGCAATCACAGTCCTGACAGAGTGATGTCCTCACCTTGCCTTTATGACATGTCTTCTTATCAATGTCAACCGGGCAAGTCCTTCTTTCTTAACTATGGTTTTTGGTGTTGGCTTGATTCGATGGGGTTATTAATTTTTCCATAATATTCCATTATGAAAAACAATTTCCATTAATTCCAAATTTTAGAGTGTTAATTGAGTTCCTGGAAAAAAAAATTCAACTAAGATTTTATTGGGATTGCAAAATTGTGGGTAAATTTAGGGGAGAATTTACACCTTTATATTAGGTGGTACCATCCAAGAGCATAAATGTCTTTTTATTTACTTAGACTATCTTTTTATTTTTAATTTAAGATCTAAGGTCTTCTCCATAGATTGTATGTGTTCCTGTTTAAGGAATGCTTGTTGCTGTTGATGGCATTTAATTTTTTTATTATACTTTAAGATCTGGGGTCCATGTGCAGAACCTGCAGGTTTGTTACATAGGTATACAAGTGCCATGGTGGTTTGCTGCACCCATCAACCTGTCATCTGCATTAGGTATATCTCCTAATGTTATCCCTCCCCTAGCCCCCATGCCCTAACAGGCCCCAGTATGTGATGTTCCCCTCCCTGTGTCCATGTGTTCTCATTGTTCAGCTCCCACTTATGAGTGAGAACATGTGGTGTTTGGCTTTCTGTTTTTAAGTTAGTTTGCTGAGAGTGATGGTTTCCAGCTTCATCCATGTCCCTGCAAAGGACATGAACTCATCCCTTTTTATGGCTGCATAGTATTCCATGGTATATACGTGCCACATTTTCTTTATCCAGTCTATCATTAATGGACATTCGGGTTGGTTCCAGGTCTTTGCTATTGTGAACAGTGCCACAATAAACATATGTGTGCATGTGTCTTTATAGTAGAATGATTTATAATCCTTTGGGTATATACCCAGTAATGGGATTGTTGGGTCAAATGGTATTTCTAGTTCTAGATCCTTGAGGAATCACCACACTGTCTTCCACAATGATTGAACTAATTTACACTCCCACCAACAGTGTAAAAGTGTTCCTATTTCTCCACATCCTCTCCAGCATCTATTGTTTCCTGACTTTTAATGATCGCCATTCTAACTGGTGTGAGATGGTATCTCATTACGGTTTTGATTTGCATTTCTCTAAGGACCAGTGATGATGAGCTTTTTTTCATGTGTTTGTTGGCCACATAAATGTCTCCTTTTGAGAAGTGTCTGTTCATATCCTTTGCCCACTTTTTGATGGGGTTGTTTGTTTTCTTCTTGTAAATTTGTTTAAGTTCTTTGTAGATTCTGGGTATTAGCCCTTTGTCAGATGGATAGATTGCAAAAACTTTCTCCCATTCTGTAGGTTGCCTGTTCACTCTGATGATAGTTTCTTTTGCTGTGCAGAAGCTCTTTAGTTTAATTAGATCCCATTTGTCAATTTTGGCTTTTGTTGCCATTGCTTTTGGTGTTTTAGTCATGAAGTCTTTAACCATGCCTATGTCCTGAATGGTATTGCCTAGGTTTTTTCCTAGAGTTTTTATGGTTTTAAGTCTTACGTTTAAGTCTAAAGACTTGAGTTAATTTTTGTATAAGGTGTAAGGAAGGGATCCAGTTTCAGCTTTCTGCATGTGGCTAACCAGTTTTCCCAACAGATGGTATTTAATTTTTATTAAATTTTCTGGTTGCTTATATTTTTTGTAGAAACGGCTATTAATTTTTGTGTTTTGGTCCTATATTTAGCCACCTTGTGAAAATATCATATTAGTCCTAATAGTTTTTCAGGTTATTTTACTTTATTGTCTTTCTTTTCTTCTAGCCTTTATTTCTTTTTCTTTCCTCACACATTGACAAGAACTCCAGTACCATGTTAATTAGTAGCAACAATATTGATATCACATCAAGCACTCCTACTCCTATCAAAACCCTTTTCTCTGAACTTGAGTTACAGGAGAAGGATTAGAAATAATACACAGAACATCAGCAGGTCTCTTTAGATCATATAGCTTGCAGTAGTTGGAGCTGTGACACAAGCCTGCATCATTTCATCCCAAAGACTTTGCTTGATCTTCAAGCAGATGTACTGTACTTACTACAATAAACACTAGACTTAATTCACTTCAATAAATATGTATTGATTATTTACTGGTAAAAATAAATATTATTCTAAGTCACTTTTGGTTTGTCTAAAATTTGTATTATAATTTCATTGTAGTATAATTACATTCATAAAAAATGAGAATAATATAATACAGTACTTCATTTCATCAATTCCTCAAAAAAAAATTAAAAACCCAAATTCTTGGAATATTCTCAGCTAGGAAACCCCTCAAACAGATTAGTTAACCAGAAGATGAAACAAGAACACTGCCATTTTTCAAAGTATTAAATTACCCAAGTGAAAGTCTAACATCAGTTTTATAAAAGGAATGTTTTACTTTTCACTTGAATAATAGACCTTAAAAGCTAAAAATTAGTCAATTCAAGTTTGCTCATCTTTCAGGGTTGTATTTGATTATTCATAATGAGAAGGCAGCACATTTGAAAGTAGACTATTAGAGGAAATAGAACTTTAAAAAATTTTTCTAGTGACTGCACAAATAAAGAACCTCATTAATGAAGATGACTCCATTAAAAAGTTGGCTTTAGACACACATCACATGCAGTTGTCATTTTTACCCCTTTGGGATCTATTTCACTTTCAGACACTTGCAAAACAAGTTTTATCCTCTTGCACTCAATCAGGATTCTAATCCCTTTGTCATCAAGTATTTGGAAAGTATTATAGGAGAGAAATGATTCAACAAACATTTATGAGGTACCAACTGGGCCATAGGTGTTGTGCAAGACACTCATGATATAGAGAAAAATGCAATCATCTCTCTCACTTGTCTCCAAAGCCAGAGAAGAGACATGAAATGAGCAGAGCCTTCCAACAGCAAGAGATAAGTACTGTAATCAAGGCCTGTTGGATGGTTAGAAAGTACAGTTACGTAATGTATTAAATATCTATTACTGCATACTGATATTACTACAAATTTAGCAACTTAAAAGCAATACAGATTTATTATCTTTCAATACTAAGGGATCAGGTTTGGGGGCATGTTTTGACTGTGTCCTTTCCAAAATCTTACAGGGCTACAATCAAGGTGTTGGCTTGGGCTGTGCTCTCCTCTGAGGTTTGACTGGGGAAGTATCCATTTCCAAGTTCACATAGTTGTGGTAGCATCAGTCCTTTGTAGGTGCTATAATTATGGCCTAATTTTCTTGCCAGGTGACAACTGAAGGATGTCTCCAGTTCCTTGCTATGTGGCACTTTCCAACATTACAGCTTGCTTCTTCAAAGTCAGCAAGGAAAAGAGAGACCCCAGCACGATAGGGACTGCAATCTTATGTGACATAATTGAGTGCATATAACCACTTGTTCTGTATGTCTAGAAGCAATTCACAGATTCCACCCATACTCAGGTATTGGTGGAGGATCACATCAGAGCATGAACACTACATAATGGGGGCAAGTTTAAGATTCTGTCTGACATAGATATCCTAATCTGGCCCTGGGTGCTAGCTGATGTCTGAAAACATGGATGAGCAGGACGAACATTCCAAACAGAATGCATATACTCAGAGTAAGAGAGCAAAGACTAGTTAGAGAAATGTAAATAGTCCTTGGACTGTTACATGATGGGGAGGAGGTGAGGCTGGGTTGAAAATGGATGGTAATCATAATGACTGGTGTTGAAGAACATTTACCATGGTCAAGTTCCTTTCAGAGAAATTTACATATCATGTTTTCCCTTAATTATCGTAATAACCCCATGAGGTTACTTCTATCATTATCCCCATTTTGGAGATAAATAGAAGTAGAAAGAAGTTAAGACATGTTTCCCAAGGGAGGTAAACAGAGACCAGGTTATAAATAACCTCATATCACTTGTCAAGGAATTTTTATTTTATCTTGATGATACTTATATATTTATTGGAGATTTGTTGGAGATTCAGGGAGAGTGTGCATGTGTTTGGGAGTGGTCAGTGAATTAGGATCAGGAAACAGTGCAGCTCGATTTTTAAGATATTGCAGTAATCTAAATAAATGCTGAGGGACTGGTCTGAGTCAGAGGCAGTGATCTTGGAGGAGACGGGCTAGAATTAAGAGATATTTATAAGGTTCAGTATCAAGGCACTAGTCTGATATGGGTGCAGAAGGGATTAGGTATGATTCCTAGGATTCTGATGGAGCAATTGAGTGAATGATTGCACCACTCACAAAGACAGGTTAACAGATGGAGGAGTGAGTTTGGAAGAAAGAGTAGATAGTGGGTTCAGTTAAGGAAATTTTAGTGAATTCAATTCTTGTTAAAGTAGGAAGTAAGGTCATTAGCTAATGTGGGGTGATTAGGGGACAGTAGCCAAGAGTGGAGGGCATCTGGAACTGTCACTGTGATGCACAAAATAGTAATTTAATCAAAGGTAAATAAAGTCGTGGCTGTATATGTAGAGACTAGGGAGGTTGGAGAGGTTGATCATGGCATCTTGGCTGAATGGGAGGAAAATAAAGCCAGAACAGTGAAGGGACTAGAAGAACTGGCAAAGCATTGACAGAGAATGGAAAGTTCACATAGAAAACAAAATCTAAAGCCCTCACCATGACCTACAGGTTCTACACAATTTTGGCCATGGTCATCTCTCCAAAAGTCCCAGCTTATTCATTGACTAGTATAATAAGTATGATCCTACTGTATGGTGTTTGCAACAGCTGTTCCCTCTACCCAGATTACTCTTTCCCAAGATATCCCCATGGCCCCACCAACTTCCTTCAGAATTCTCTTGCTATGTTGCCTCCTCAAAGTGTCCTTGCTTGATCCCTTATTTAAAATAGCCCCTCTTTTCACTACCCATCCCCTTGCTGACTTTTATTTTTTATGTTTAGCAATGATCACTATGAGCCACTATATGTAATTGCCCAATGGGTTCTTTCTGCCCATTGCACAGATAAAATCAATCCACTGAGACTACAACATTAGTTGACTTGAGGCCAGCCCATGTGAGAGAACTGGAATTATCACTCAAATCAATCTCCCTGAAGGATCAGAGGTTAGGGATCTTTATGGACAATTTGGTGGGCAGGGGCTAGGGAATGGGTGCTGCTGATTGGTTGGGAAATGAATCATATGGGTGTATAAATGGTCCTCATATGATGAGTCCATCTCTGGGTGGGGCCACGTGATCAGTTGAGTCATGGGTCATGAGTCCAGATGGGGTCAGTCTGAAAAACATCTCAAACAAACCAATATTAGATTCTACAATAGTGATGTTATCTGTGAGATCACTTGGGAAATTCACAAATCTTGTGACCTCTGGCCACATGACCCCTGAACAGTAAGGGATTATAGAAACTACGCCTATGGTTTATCAGAGTTTAGGCCCTTCTCATAATCCTAACCTTGTGGCCTGTCATTAGTTTTACAATGGTAGTTTAGTTTTGGGAAGAGTATTATCATCTTCACTTTAAGGTTAAGCTATGAACTAAATTCCTCCCAAAGTTAATTAGGCCTATGCCCAGGAATGACCAAGGAAAGCTTGGAGGTCAGAAGCAAGATGAAGTCAACTGTCAAATTTCTCTTACTGTTGTAATTTTGGCAAAAGTGGCTTCATATGTTATGTACTTATTGTCTCTTTATTTTCAATCTCTCCCACTAGGCTGTTAAGGCAGAGAGAATAACAACTTTACAATATCTTTGATTAAGTAAGTCTTGCATATAATTAACCAAATGATTTTAATGTACAGTGAAAATTCTTGTAGTGACTCATCTCTTCAGTCCCTCTTCCCTAGAAGATAGCCACATTTATTAAATTCTCGTCTGTCTTTTCAGTTACCCTATAGAAGTATAAGCAAATATGAATATATGCTCTTAACTTTCTTCTTCTTTTTTTGCAGAATAGAGAATTCATTAAACATATCACTGGGCTACTGGCTTTCTCCGTATTGCAGTTTTCTCTCATCAATGCATACAGAAAGTCTTCAGTTTATTTTTGTTTTGGGGATTTGGAGGTTGTGGATTGTTCAATTTACAGTGGCATAATGTTTCACTAAATACCATAGTTTGTTTAACTAGACCTCCACTAATGAGCATTTGGGTATTTTCTAATTTATATCTCTTTATTCAATGAATAACCTTATATATACATTATTTTGTCTATGTACAAATATAGCTGCAGAAGAAATTCCCTAAAGTGAGAAAAAGGCTACATACATGTGAAATTCGGTAGATAATGCCAAATTGCTCCCCATCGGGATTCTACCAATTTATACTCCCACCAGCCATGTATAAAAGTTCCTGTTTCCTCACAGCCTTGCTAAACAAAGCTGCAAAACACGGGTCTTATCAATCAGTGAATTTTTACCAGTCTGAAAGTTAAAAAAAAAAAAAATGACATCTTAGTATAGTGTTTTGTTTGTATTTTGCTAAGTATGAGTGAGGCAGAGATTTCTTCCTTATGTAAAGAGCTTTTATATATTTACATGCATTTTTCATTTCTAGAAACTGTCTGTTCTTTTCTTTTATGAAAAAGACTGTCTATTTTCCCCACTGTATTCTCAGCATTTAGGACAGTACCTAATCTATAGTGAGCTTGTTAAATATTTGCTGAATAAATGGCTATGACAAGGGTGAAATTCTAGGCTACAGAGGTGAAGGAAAGAAAAGGTGGAAGCAGGACGGGAAAACTTTAAGACCATGGTTGTGGTGGTGGAGCAGTTTGAAATAATGATGTGCTTTTTTAGGTGTTACCATGGCAGCAGAGGTCATAGCCACAAAGATCCTTATAACAGAGAAACATGACACCAAGGGATGAGACAGGTCATCAGCATAGATGAAGACATGAAATAAAACGTCACACTGCTCTGGGCAGAATGTGCATCTATGAGCCTGCTAAAGGATGCAGATAAAAATGACGTTGTCATTATAATCGGGCATCCCATTGACTTCACCCAAGATGATCCCCTGGGCACCCAATCCTTCCTGCTTTGGGTCTAACTGCACTCCTCATCCTCTCACTCTCCTGTTATTTTTCATTCTGTCTCTGGCTTGGCTACCTTAGTTTATTAACTCTTCTGCCCTTGGATGCACTCCCTCACCTGTCTCTCCACTCCTTCTCCCTATTGTTGTTCATACTCACCCTCTCTCCTTCCCTCTTGGACCCAGAGTTCTGGAACCTGCCCCTCTCCCTGCCTTTTGCCCAGAGGGTTGGCTCTTGGATACAGAAAATAAATTTTATTTTTTTCCCTGCTCTTGTCTTTCATTAGCAAATGGAATCATTTGTAATTACCAAAGCTGCATGTTGGCAAATTCCTCTCTCGCAAAAATGTGGACAGCTGTCATAGAAAATGACTATCTAAAGTAAGATGACTCTTTAACAAATTGGGGTATGACAATCATGAAAATGAAAGTGTACCCTTCCAGTCTTTGTGAAGCAACTTATCTGTTTTGAAGTCTTTTTATAGTGTCACTGTGTTTTTAGTAGATATTTCTTTTGTTCACTCTTTATGTTAGGAAAAACAATTCTATTACTGCAAATTCAATTGAATTTAGCAACAATTTATTGAGCACCTAGTAATGTTCCTAGCACTGTGCTAGAAGTTGTGGGGAAAACAGATGAAGTGTATGATGTACCCTTGCCCTCGAGGAGTATAGGATTCTAGCAAGAAACAATATGTATGCAAATAATCCAATTAGCCTGGAAACCCACAGAGTTCAAAAATGAAAAAGTCTAGAATAAAATAAGTCAACTGCATATAAGTTATACCAGTGCCTGGTTCATGGTAGGACCTCAATAAGTCATTTAATTAGTGCAAAAAATGGACAAAATGGGTGGGACCAACTCTTACTAAAAAGATGAAGAGGAATCAAAAGCTGCTGGGGTTTCTGCTGTGGCTTCAAGGATGTGGTAAGATGTTAGGTAATATCATATCTGAAGATTACATTTCAGATATTATGAAAGTGATAAATGAAGGTGACTTTTCAGTGGAGAAAAAAAAGGAAGGACACTGACCGATTATCCAGTTAGCTGGTAGGTGTCTTACAAGAGAGAAGATTTAGTAAGCTTTTAGAATTATTTCTTCTTACTCACTGTAGAGATGTGTCAAAACCGACATGATTCACTCCCAAAAGGGAGAGCGATGCTTTTCAAAGCACCATTGTATTAGTCTATTCTCACACTGCTATAAAGGAATACCCAAGACTGGGTAATTTAAAAAGGAAAGAGGTTTAATTGACTCACAGTTCTGTATTGCTGGGGAGGCCTCAAGAAACTTACAATCATGGCAGAAGGCACTGTTTCACAAGGTGGCAGGAGAGAGAATGAGTGCCAAGCAAAGGGGGAAGCCCCTTTTAAAACCATCAGATCTTGTGAGAACTCACTCATTATCATGAGAACAGCATGAGGGAAACCACTGCCATAATTCAACTATCTCCACCTGGTCTTGGCCTTGACACATGGGGATTATTACAATTTAATGTGAGATTTGGGTGAGGACACAGAGCCAAATCATATCAACTGTACATTGAAGAGTTTCCCAAATTGGGAGAGAAGAAGGGCTCCTGTGGCCACTGATAATCCATAAATACCCATCAGAACAGTTGATATTTTTAGCCAATGACAGAACCTCCTTCAGGGCTCAAAGATAGACAATATTATTGGAGGACATCTGTTTTTTAAAAAAAAAACTTCATGACTTCAAAACAAGGAGTTTGGGGGAAACTAAATTTAGTGTCTCAGGAGATAACCTGGCAATGTGATTGAGTGTATTTCATTGAAATTATTTTCAAAGAGAAGGTCAAACTCTCTTGCTCAAGAAACAACATAGAGACACTGTTTTTCTCCTTTCAATCCAGTCAATCACCAACTATCATCAAATCTATCTTCTGATAAATCCCTGGAATCTTCTCACTCTCCACCCTTCTCATTCTTATTTCTTCTGTAAAATTCTCCATAGTTCTTACCTGCCTAGCTGCCAGGGCTCCTAAGTGGATTCCCTGTCTTCAGTTAGAATCTTTCAGTCTAACCTCCACATTGCAGCAGAATAAATTCTAAGGAGCAAATCTGACACATCATACCCCCGCTTAAACCTGTTCAGATCTACTATCTTGTGGATAAATTTCACACTATAAATGGTGATAGTTAAGGCCACTAGTGATTTATCTCTTTGCCCTACCTCCAGCACCATCTTTCAGCATACCCCCAAACCTTTCCCAGGCATATGGAACTGCTTGTTGATCCCTCAACTAGCAGCGCTTCCTCCTAATTCTGAATGTAAGTTATCTTCCAATATTGGCCCTGACCCACAAGTCTTCTGATGCTCTTATCCAAGAAACTCTTCCTTGTCATTGAGGACTCATTGTGGCAGTTGCTCTGAGGAGCTTGTCTTGGCAGAATCCCCACTGCCGAACCAATATTGGCTATTCATTAGTACCTACTGCCTCCAGGCTCCCATTGTACTCTGTACTTCCCTCTGTGGCATGTATCATACTCTGTCTTAATTGTTGTTTATCACTCTATTGCCCCAACAGCCCGAAAGGTTCTTAAGACCAGGATAGCCTCATTCATCTTTGTACTCTGAGAATCTCATATATACCCGGCACAGTTCTAATGGACACTCAATAAATAGTTAACTTTCAAAATACGATACCCATTACAAAAGGCAAGGTGAAAAAATTCACTAGAAAACTCATGTTTGCAAAAAACCGATAGTTGCAACCCTGTGGTATCATTCAAGAAAGTGCAGGTGGGGTGCACAGGGTGGGGTTGGGTATAAAAAGTCTATGAGTTCAAGGCTGCCAAGGAGCTGAAGACTCAGCCAAGAACAATTTTAGGTTCTTATTTTCCCAGCAAGGCAGCAGCTGGTGCCTGGCAGAAGGGGAATGGTGTTGCCATGTCACTGAACAGCAATCGTGGAGTGGCCAGAGAGCCAGCAGCCTAAATACTCTTCCCTGAGCCAGAACAGGGCTGTAGGGAAAAAGTGGTAGCTCAGTGAGCATCAGCTGGAGAAAGCAGCAGAGGCTATGGTGGCTCCTGGCAGCGAACTGCTTACCCAGGCGAACACTGTAATTAAGACTAATAGGGCATGAGGCCAGTCTGAGAGGCTAAATACCCAAAATTTAGAATGTAGCTAAACAAACACACTGTTTATAAAATCTCCCAGGCAAGAAACCTGAAAATCATCTTTCCTTTGCTTCCCACCACCTACATCCAGCCAGTCACCAAACCTTCATGATAGCATGTAATATATGTCTAAAGATTTCTGCTCTTTCCATCATTCTTTTCCCCATCCTTTATCATTTAAATCTAGACTATCCTTAACAGCCTACTAATGGGTTTCCATGCACCAATAAAATTCCTTCAATCTATCCTCCATACTCCTGGAATTTATATTTCTGTAGAAGTTAAACAGAGTCATGTCACCTTCCTTTTTAAGGATAATTTTGCATCTCTAATTGCCTATGAATAAAGGCCTATTGTTTAGCATTCTTAAGAAACTGAATGCCAGTTTTCTCATTTGTAAAACAGGAAAACAGTACCTACCTCATAGAACTCCGAGGATTAAAGGGTTTAATATATATGAAGCTTAAGAATTGTGTCCAGCATGGAGCAAGGATTATAATAAGTTAGTTATTATCAATAGTATTATTTTTTATCAGGATTTCCTCCAAGATTTCTTATGATCTGGTCCAATCTCATTGGATAAACAAGAAAATATATATCAATGCAGACACTGGACTCACTGGTCTGAATTCAAATCTAGAAAGACACTAGCTGCATAATATTAGGCAAGATACCTAAGTCTCAATTTTCTCATATATAAGACAGGAATTATAGTAGTTTCCACCTTAATGGATTTTTTTGTTTTGCTTTGTTTTCTTGTTTTGAGATGGAGTCTCTCTCTGTCACCCAGGCTGGAGTGCAGTGGCGCAATCTCAGCTCAATGCTACCTCTGTCTCCCAGGTTCACACAATTCTCTGCCTCAGCCTCCCAAGTAGCTGGGATTACAGGTGCCCATCACCACGCCTGGCTAATTTTTTTGTATTTTTAGTAGAGACGGGGTTTCACCATCTTGGCCAGGCTGGTCTTGAACTCCTGACCTCGTGATCCACCCGCTTTGGCCTCCCAAAGTGGTGGAATTACAGGCATGAGCCACTGCGCCCGGTCAATGAATTATTTTGATAAGTTTAATGCAGAAGGAAAGGTTGGCAAAGGTGATCAAGAAGGAGATGCCTAAGAATTAGGAGGAGAAACAGGAAGGAATATTCTTCCAAATGCCAAATAAAAATAATTTGAAGAAGAATATGGTTGAAAGCTTTAAATGTTCCAGAAGAATCCAGCTGAGTGAAATTTCAAAAGAAGTCTTAGATTTGAAATAGGAAGAGTAAGGACCTCAACAAGAACAGTGTTGGAAAATTAATGCGGAGGGAAAGTAATTTCAATGGCTCAGGGAAATGGAAGGTCACAGTAATGTGTTAGAAAAAAGTTGCTTGGAAGCCAGGTTTTCCTGAGATTCTTTTGAGTATCTACAACTTCTGGAAAAACAGGTGTATATAAAAGTTGAGTCCTCAAATCTCAGGCTCAAGATTTGCCACTGACTAAGAAATGAGCAATATGAATCCTAACAAACACATGCCAGGTATAGCATTACTGTGTGTCAGCCTTTGGTTTAAGTGCTTTCAGTATATTCTAATAATCTAATCTTCACAACCCTGCTATTCCTGTTTTGTGTGTGTGTGTGTGTGTGTGTGCGTGTGTGTGGTTTTTTGTTTGTTTGTTTGTTTGGAGATGGAGTCTTGCTCTGTCACCCAGTTTGGAGTGCAATGGTGCGATCTCACTTACTGAAACCTCCACCTCCTGGGTTCAAGGAATTCTCCTGCCCCAGCCTCTTGAGTAGCTGGGATTACAGGCATGTGCCACCATGCCCAGCTAATTTTTGTATTTTGAGTAGAGATGGGGTTTCACCATGTTGGCCCAGCTGGACTTGAACTCCTGACCTCAGGTGATCCTCCCGTCCAGGCCTCCAAAAGTGTTGGGGTTACAGGCATAAGCTGCAGGAATATGGCCAGGCATGAGCCACTGCCTGATAGAATTAGGATTTAGAACCAGTTAATCTGGCTTCAGACATACTGTGTCTGTTCATATGTTACAGCCCTTAATTCAATTCAATTTAACAAATAATTTTTAAATGTCTGTCTAGTGCCAGGTACTGCTAAAGGCTCTTGGGGATGCATTAGAAAACAAAAAAGACAGCAAGGTGTGGTGGCTCACGCCTGTAATCCCAACACTTTGGGAGGCTCAGGTGGGCAGATCACGAGGTCAGGAATTCGAGACAAGCCTGGCCAACATGGTGAAACCCTGTCTCTACTAAAAATACAAAAATTAGCCAGGCGTGGTGGCGGGCACCTGTAAACTCAGCTACTCAAGAGGCTGAGGCAGGAGAATCCCTTGAAACTGGGATGCAGAGGTTGCAGCGAGCTGAGGTTGCAGCGAGCTGAGATTGCACCACTGCATTCCAGCCTGGGCAACAGAGCAAGACTCAATTTCAAAAAAGAAAAAGAAAAGAAAAAAGACAATGACATACCTTGCAGACACCAAAACTTTAAAAATACACCTGACTTAAAGGCCTTAATCTACCCTTTTTTACTTTTTATGTCATCCAGTGTGGGAAACATGTGAAGAACATGCCATCATGTCAAGAACATGCCATCATGTCCAGGGATGGCCAACCTTCCTATTTAAGGAAGCTGTTTTTCTTTTTTTTCACCTGTCAAAAAACATTTTGAGTGGTGGAATCCTGCAAAGAAGCTGTATTGGGGTGGTAGTTGATTTGGTATGAGAGTGGTTTCCAGATGCCATTGGCTATTGGCAATTTTGCTAACTTATTTGTTACCTTAGACAAAAGTATGTATTCTCAGTGGTTCCTAGCTATATGGGGACAGTCACAGGCCGTTGTGACTAGGGTCAACCCTCAGAAAACTTGCTTCCCTGACCATGCCTGGAGATAGATTCTCTCTCTGTATTGCACCACTTCCTGTACCTTTTATCTAATAACACTTCCGCTCCAGCAAATGGCTTCAGTTTTCTATTGCAATAATAGCTTAGTTGCTCAAGGACAAGTTCTCTTTGAGCTTTTGATCCTCCCCTGCTAAATTCTTAAACTTTAGTTTTTCTTAGTTATCAGAAGTGAAATCAACGCCTAATCCTCTCAAAACTGCTTTATGAAACCTGCCCTGGTGTTTTTCCACACGCCAGGAATTATGCTGTCTGCTTCCACATTGAAGTGTGCACTGTATTCTTTATTCAACTTACTTCTTCTTCCCCTATGAACTTATTCTTCTCCTTCCCCAGGGTGGTCTTTTGATCCTTGGAACCTAGAATGGCAACTGGCACATAGCTATTTCTTAACTTTTAATAAATTATAAAGAACCTGATATAGTACCCACCACGTCATGGTTCTCACTAAGTAGTGTCTCTTGAGTGTATGAATAAATGAATGAACAAATGAATGAATAAACAAACATAGATGCTAGATGTTTCCATCAGGGACTAAAATGCAGGAGCTGTTAGTATGTCCAAGGAAGACCTGGTGGGTGGTATTCTTTAAAATCAATAGAAGAAACTGGGTGGTTTTTTGTTTTTTTTTTTTTTTAATGTTTAAAAGAAAAGAGAAAATGATCAGTCGACTTGAAAAGCAACTACTTTACATAATAATGTTATTAATGTTGTAAGGAATACTGGGCCCATTTGTTGTAAAATGACAACCATTTCACAGAAATTGCTTGGGGCCAGTTTAGGGGATGAAAAGTGTTCATTTTCCCTGTGTGCTTTCATGCGCCATCCCCAGAGACAAAGCAGAGACAAAGAGCTAACTCAGATCCTGTTTGGAAGGACTGGTACATTATTAGGTACTCCAGTTTCTTTCCTTAAAAGCCTTGAGGCTTGGAATTGACCACACAAAGGACACACTTCCACAGTGTATCACCTGCAACTGGCCAAAACTTACAATGCATGAGAAAGAGGAATCTATGGAAGAAGCCACAGGAAGACAAGAGAAACCTCAGTCACAGGAGAATATAGCAGAGCTGCATGATGTCACCAGTTGCCCATGAGAACCCAAGAAATAGGAAAAGGCGGGCCTCTGTAATAAAGGGAAACTGTAGGTCAAAATGTAGGCAGTTGCAGCCATCCAGGACCCAGAAAATCTTGCCTTTGCCTTTCTCACGCGTTCTCTCTGATGCTCAGGGTCTTCCCTTTAGAATTCATTTTCTTTATTTTTTCACTCTTTACCCAATTTGACTACCTGACTCTCAATTTTGCAATTCCCGTCTTGACCTATGACTCTAGCCTCAGCCAGTTTCTAACTAATTGGTCCTTGCTCTTAGAAATCAGATGCTGTGTTCACCTCTCCAGTCTTTGACTGTTTCAGGCCATCAGCTCTCCCACACTGCTCTTTCCCCAACTTACATTTCAGCTGGAGCTTGACACCAAAGGCAAGTCATTTAAGCATTTTCTTTCTCTCAGCCCCTAATTGTTTACTTTCTGTCAAGAAAAATAATCTTCAGGCCCGAGAAGGCAGAACTTATACTGAGAATAGGGAAATGACTGAGCCCAGAACAGATAAAAGAATATAAGGGAGGAAGTAAGATATATAAAAATAATATTTTAATTTATTTATACTCTATTTTTTAAAAATAGACTTAAGGTCATTTTCAGACACAAAAAGAGCCTTTCTAACAAGGTTAGAAAAACAGGCAGAAAAAAAAAAAAAGCCGGTTAGAAAACTTGGATCAGATTATCACTTAGAATGATATGCAAAGGGTATATCATAAAATCCAATACTTGTCGGAAGTTAAGAACAAATATAGGCTTAAGCTTATCCTACTATACATACAGTTTTTTCTTTTTTTCTCACTTTAATTTACATCATTAAAAATTTAGCATTTAACTACATTGCCACTATAATAAAATTGTAAATGACCCACCATGTTCCAGTTTACAGTGTTACTGGCCAAAAAAAAAGTGACATCGCTCACTTTTTATTGCTTACTTTTTCTTGCTCTTAGTTATCCAGGGGATAATATAAAAGAGATTGTTCAACTGGAATAATCTTCGCCCTTGGTATCAAGGCAATGTCCATTTCAAGCCTGATTCAAAGAAACATTCACCAAGGCTGTGTAAGCACCAATAATAGAGTCTTCCATAGTTTCTTCCCTGCTTCTTCCCTTTCCATTACCATGGAAATCCATGCAATTAAACGGAGGAAAGACACCATCTTGTTCTGGCACCCGAGCCCTTTCTTTGTGATTCCAAAATGTATAATGTGATTGATATGTTCAGCTTTGTGTCTTGAGCATCGCAAATTATGTACAATTTATATGCCACTGAGAATGTTTACTGAGAAAAAAATAAGAATGGGAAAATAGCTGAGACAACTGAAGGAACAAAAGTAAGAGCAGAAAGATATTATAAAAACTGGACCCCCATTGCTACTCTGTCTTGAAAAGATTTTGCCAGGTACGTGCAGACGCTGGTGCTGGAGAAATGGGGTCATTGCTATCGGGGTTTCTAATGGTTATTGATCTTCCTCAAGATTTTAGTGCACTCACATTTTCTTAGTGTCCTCCTAAGGTCAGACATTTTGGTGACTTCCAACTTCCTGCTGCCATAAATACATCTACAGAGAACATCTTTACTCATGAAAGGTTTCCCACATTAAGATATTTTCTTTGACAGAGATTCCTGGTAGAATGAGGAACTTCACCTCTGGACTCAGATTTCCTGCTTTCACATTTTAGCTCCACCATTCACTAGCTGTGTAGCCATAGACAAGTCAGTTGATTCCTCTCTGTCGCAGGTTTCCTCCTTTACAAAACTGGGCTAATGTTGGTGGCTATGCCATGGGGTAGGTTACAAAACTTAAGTAAGATAATACCTAAAAAGGGCTTAGGAAAATGCCTGCTATGTATAAGGCATTTTACATAATAAATACCCAATAAACACTATTACTATTTCTTACTTATGGGGGTGAAATTATGAGCTTCCAGTTGTTTGTAAACTCCATGTGCAGATGCTAAGCCTTGGTTGTCTCCATACCTTCACACCCCAGAACAGTGCCAGGTAGATTAACAGGTGGGCAGGTAGGCTTCTTGAGGGCAGGAACTGACAGTTTTGTGGACTGTTCGATATCTAGCACCTGTAGCAGCACTGGATACCCAGTTAGCACTCATTACATTTTTGTTGAATGTATAACTCTTAATAGAACTAAAGCAAGTCATTTGAAACCCATTAGGGCAAGAGCAGGAAATAGTTCTGTGTGTTTGCTATTGTTGCCTGTGTTAAAAGAAAAACTTCAGCCAAATTAAATTTAAAGGAGTTTAATTGAGCAATGAACTATTCACAAATTGGGCAGCCCCCAGACTCACAGCAGATTCACAGAGACTCCAATGCAGCCACGTGGTGGAAGAAGATTTATAGGCAACAAAAAGTGAAACGATGTACAGAAATTGGAAGTGAGGTACAGAATGGCTAGGTTGGTTACAGCTAGGCATTTGCCTTATTTGAACACAGTTTGAACTCTCAGGAGTGTATGAATGATTGAAGTACAGCCGCTGGGATTGGCCAAGACTCAGCTATTGTTATAGGTGCATACTCCAAAGTTGGGTTTTCAATCTTGTCTACCTGTTAAGCTAGGTTGCAGCTCATCCACAAGGATTCAAATATAGAACTACTGAGTCCTTCTCAGGCCATATTTAGTTTGCTTTAACTCCTGGAATGCTCAGAGTATGAGACAGGTAAGCATTCAGTGACTGAAGGAGGGGGCCAGAACATGCCCAGAGCAGAGGGGCTGCAGGCTGCTTGGTATTGGACAGCACAGTGGGAGCCCAGGAGACACCAAACTTCTGGGGACAGATAGTGTGTGGCACCAGGAGGAGGATTAGAAAAGGGGGAGTTAGAGTTGCCAACAAAACAGACTTCGCCTCCTTCCTCTAAGGCAGCCATAAGAAAGTAATCAAATTCTTCTCCAGAACAGTTGCTGACATTGTCAAGCTGTGAAAAGGACTAATTAAGTAGTTTGTATTAAAATGAAGGGCTGTCCCATTGTGGAAAGAATAGGGGGAGGGGGCTACGGAGCAAACAGGCCGTATTTGCAATTTCACCTCCACCACTCATCAAAATGTGACTTGAAGCTGAGCCTCAGTTTCGTGATCTGCAGAATAGGGCCAATATTGCCTCATTTACAGGGTTGTTGTGAGGGTTAAAATTTCAACCGCAACAGAGAGTCCAAGTTTCACAGTATAATGCCTGGCACATAGTGGGCCCTAAATAAATGGTAACTAGTAATATTAAAATTAATCACAGTAATCAGGCCTCACAATAAAAACTGACATAGGGCTTATCAAACGAATTCTCTCTACCGCATGAAAGAAACATGAGAACAAGCCCAAATTAGCTTGCTATTTTCCAGCAGCGAGCCGAGGAGACTGCCGAAGGTCACAGCAGCCATCTCGTAGGGAAAGAAAATGACATGGAACACTGGGTCCCTGCTCATCGGCAGTGAATACCCACCCAATTAAGCAGATTAAACATTCACTCCTTGTGATGAAAAAGCCCCGTGCAGCTGAGCTAGGCCGCCTTCCCTGCTTCCTCGTCCAGAGCCTCTGTTTGTTAAATCACCCTTCCCTTCCCTTCTACATTCAGAAAATAATTGGCACTTGTTTAATGCCAAATTTACATTTGTTTTGCATGGGAACAAAATTTGCTTGCAAACAGCTATGTGTGTGAGCAAATGGGCATTTGTGTTGGTAAATAAAACAGACATGCAGTTTTCCAGTTTGAAGATGCATTATTCAACAAAACAAGCAGCAATAGCCTTTAATTTTCACTTATTCCTAAGTACTTAGGCACAAACTGTAGCCAGAAAAGCACTTTTTTTTGTCATTTATGCTTGTTCCGAGGTTTTCTTTCACATTTGTCCCAAATGCATATATTATCAGAACTGACCAGACTTTTAGCACTTTTGGATTAAATCTTCTCAATGAAACAATTTATAGATTTAACAAATATTTGCTGAGTGCCTACTATGTGCTGCTTTGTGGAGATTCACAGATGAATTCATGGTTCCTGCCTTTGGGGGATATTGCAAATCATGGAGATTGATTTGTAAGTGGAATATGACCTTGGTGCTAAAATAATTTAGTAATAAAAGAATTACCCTAAAAAAGCTCTAGGTGACCAGTTAGGAAGCAAAAACACAGAATAATTATTTCTGCCTGCACAGCTGGAAGAGATGATATTTGATTTTAGCAGTGAAAACAAAGAAATAAAGAAATAGCTTCTCAAGCTAAGGAAAAAACACAGGGAAGCTTGAGAACACAGAAGTATTCAAAGGCATTTAGTGAGGGGTGTCAATGTAACTAGGGAGGGATTGTGGGAGGATATGAAGCTGAATTTTAAGGGGTCTTGAATGCTATGTCAAGAGTTTGGACTTTATCAATGTGTATCTAACTTTAATATACATATTGGTCACCTGAGGTTCTCATCAAATTTTGATGAAGATGAAGAAACTGCATCAACTAATGGGCAAAATAACTAGCTAGCATCAAAATGACAGGATCCAATTCACACAAAACAATATTAACCTTAAATGTAAATGGTTTAAATGCTCCAAATAAAAGACACAGACTGGCAAATTGAATAAAGAGTCAAGACCCATCGGTGTGGTATATTCAGAAGACCCATCTCAGGTGCAAAGACACACACAGGCTCAAAATAAAGGGACGGAGGAAGATTCACCAAGCAAATGGAAAGCAAGAAAAAGCAGGGGTTACAATTCTAGTCTCTGATAAAACAGACTTTAAACCAACAAAGATCAAAGGAGACAAAGAAGGCCATTATATAATGGTAAAGGGATCAATTCAACAAGAAGAGCTAACTATCCTAAATATATATGCACCCAATACAGGAGCACCCAGATTCAAAAAGCAAGTTCTTAGAGACATACAAGGAGACTTAGACTCCCACACAATAATAGTGAGAGACTTTAACAACCCACTGTCAATATTAGACAGATCAATGAGACAGAAAATTAACAAGGATATTCAGGACTTGAACTCAGTTCTGGACCAAGCGGACCTAACAGACATCTACAGAACTATCCACCCCAAATTAACAGAATATACATTCTTCTCAGCACCTCATCGCACTTATTCTAAAATTGACCACATAATTGGAAGTAAAACACTCCTCAGCGAATGCAAAAGAGCAGAGATCATAACAAACAGTCTCTCAGACCACACTGCAATCAAATTAGAACTCAGGATTAAGAAACTCACTCAAAACCACACAACTGCAAGGAAACTGAACAAACGGCTCCTGAATGACTACTGGGTAAATAACGAAATTAAGGCAGAAATACGCAAGTTCTTTAATACCAATGAGAACAAAGACACAAGGTACCAGAATCTCTGGGACAGCTAAAGCAATCTTAAGAGGGAAATTTATAGTACTAAATGCCCACAGGAGAAAGTGGGAAAGATGTAAAATCGACACCCTAACATCACAATGAAAAGAACTAGAGAAGCAAGAGCAAACAAATTCAAAAGCTAGCAGAAGACAAGAAATAACTAAGATCAGAGCAGAACTGAAGGAGATAGAGACACGAAAAACCTTTCAAAAAAAAAATCAGTGAATCCAGGAGCTGGTTTTTTGAAAAGATTAATAAAATACATAGAACGCTAGCCAGACCAGTGAAAAGGAAAAACAGAAGAATCAAATAGACACAACAAAAAATGATAAATGGGATATCACCACTGATCCCACAGAAATGCAAACTACCTTCAGAGAATACTACAAACACCTCTACGCAAATAAACTAGAAAATCTAGAAGAAATGGATAAATTCCTGGACACATACACACTCCCAAGACTAAATAAGGAAGACATTGAATCCCTTAATAGACCAATAACAAGTTCTGAAATTGAGGCAATAAATAATAGCCTACCAACTAAAAAAAGCTCAGGACCAGAGGGAGTCACAGCTGAATTCTACAGGAGGTATAAAGAAGAGCTGGTACTATTCCTTCTGAAACTATTTCAAACAATAGAAAAAGAGGGACTCCTCCCTAACTCATTTCATGAGGCCAGGATCATCCTGATACCAAATCCTGGCAGAGAAACAACAAAAAAAGAAAATTTCAGGCCAATATCCCTGATGAACATTGATGTGAAAATCCTAAATAAAATACTGGTAAACCGAATCCAGCAGCACATCAAAAAGCCTGTCCACTACGATCAAGTTGACTTCATCCCTGGGATGCAAGGCTGATTCAACATACATAAACAAAACATAAAGCCATCACATAAACAAAACCCATGACAAAACCACATGATTATCTCAATAGATGCAGAAAAGGCCTTTGATAAAATTCAACAGCCCTTCATGCTAAAAACTCTCAATAAACTAGATATTGATGGAACATATCTCAAAATAGTAAGAGATATTTATGACAAACCCACAGCCAATATCATACTGAATGGGCAAAAGCTGGAAGCATTCCCTTTGACAACTGGCAAAAGACAAAATGACCTCTCTCACCACTCCTATTCAACTTAGTATTGGAAGTTCTGGCCAGGGCAATCAGACAAGAGAAAGAAACAAAGGGTATTCAAATAGGAAAAGAGGTAGTCAAATTGTCTCTGTTTGCAGATGACATGATTGTATATTTAGAAAACTCTATCATCTCAGCCAAAAATCTCCTAAAGTTGATAAGCAACTTAAGCAAAGTCTCAGAATACAAAATCAATGTGCAAAAATCACAAACATTCCTATACACCAATAATAGACAAATACAGAGCCAAATCGTGAGTGAACTACCATTCATAGTTGCTACAAAGAGAATAAAATACCTAAGAATACAATTTGCAAGGGATGTGAAGGACCTCTTCAAGGAGAACTACAAATCACTGCACAAGGAAATCAGAGAGGACACAAACAAATGGAAAAACATTCCACGCTCATGGATAGGAAGAATCAATATCGTGAAAATGGCCATACTGACCAAAGTAATTTATAGATTCAATGCTATCCCCATCAAGCTACCATTGGCTTTCTTCACAGAATCAGAAAAAAACTACTTTAAATTTTATATAGAACCAAAAAAGAGCCCGTATAGCCAAGATAATCCTAAGCAAAAAGAATAAAGCTGGAGGCATCAAGCTACCTCACTTCAATCTATACTACAAGGCTACAGTAACAAAAAGAGCATGGTACTGGTACCAAAACAGATACATAGACCAATGGAACAGAACAGAATCCTCATAAATAATGCCACACATCCTACAACCATCTGATCTTTGACAAACCAGAGAAAAACAAGCAATGGGGAAAGGATTTCCTATTTAATAAACGCTGTTTGGAAAACTGGCTAGCCATATGCTGGAAACTGAAACTGGAGCCCTTCCTTACACCCTATACAAAAATTAACTCAAGATGGATTAAAGACTTAAATGTAAAACCTAAAACCAGAAAACCCCTAGAAGAAAACCTAGGCAATACCATTCAGGACATAGGCATGGGCAAAGACTTCATGACTAAAACACCAAAAGCAATGGCAACAAAAGCCAAAGTTGACAAATGGGATCTAATTAAACTAAAGAGCTTCTGCACAGCAAAAGAAACAATCATCAGAGTGAACAGGCAACCTACAGAAGGGGAGAAAATTGCTGCAATCTATCCACCTGACAAAGAGCTAATATCCATAATTTAAAAAGAACTTAAACAAATTTACAAGAAAAAAATCAAACAACCCCATCAAAAAGTGGGCAAAGGATATGAACAGACAATTCTCAAAAGAAGACATTTATGCGGACAACAAACATAAGAAAAAAAGCTCATTATCACTGGTCATTAAGAAATGCAGATCAAAACCACAATGAGATACCATCTCCCGCCAGTAAGAATGCCAGTCATTAAAAAGTCAGGAAACAACACGTGCTGGAGAGGATGTGGAGAAATAGCACTTTTACACTGTTGGTGATAGTGTAAATTAGTTCAATCATTGTGAAAGACAGTGTTGTGATTCCTCAAGGATCTAGTACTAGAAATACCATTTGACCCAACAATCCCATTACTGCGTATATACCCAAAGGATTATAAATCATTCTACTATAAAGACACATGCACACATATGTTTATTGCAGCACTATTCACAATAGCAAAGACTTGGAACCAACCCAAATGTACATCAATGACAGACTGGATAAAGAAATTGTGGCACATATACACCATAGAATACGATGCAGCCATAAAAAAGAATGAGTGCATGTCCTTTGCAGGGACATGAATGAAGCTAGAAACCATCATTCTCAGCAAACTAACAGAGGAACAGAAAACCAAACACTGAATGTTCTCACCCATAAGTGGGAGTTGAACAATGAGAACACATGGACACAGGGAGAAGAACATCACACACTGGGGCCTGTCAGGGGGTAGGGGGCTAGGGGAAGGATAGATAGCATTACGAGAAATACCTAATGTAGATGAAGGGTTGATGAGTGCAGCAAACCACCATGGCACGTGTATACCTATGTAACAAACCTGCACATTCTGCACATGCATTCCAGAACTTAAAGTATAATTTAAAAAAAATTTGATTTTGACCTTGTTAAAATACACCCAGTAGATTTTGGTGGAGCCTGAGACGCTGCATTTCTAAGAAGCCCCTAATTAGAGGTATGTTGGCAATTATTTAACAAGAGCTTTGGACCAGGGGTCAGAAGAGCATTTAACAGTTCCGATGTGGCCGGGCGTGGTGGCTCAAGCCTGTAATCCCAGCACTTTGGGAGGCCAAGAAGGGCGGATCAAGAGGTCAGGAGATCGAGACCATCCTGGCTAATACGGTAAAACCCCGTCTCTACTAAAAATACAAAAAAATTAGCTGGGCGTAGTGGCGGGTGCCTGTAGTCCTAGCTACTCGGGAAGCTGAGGCAGGAGAACGGCGTGAACCCGGGAGGCGGAGCTTGCAGTGAGCCGAGATCCTGCCGCTGCACTCCAGCCTGGGCGACAGAGCAAGACTCTGTCTCAAAAAAAAAAAAAAAAAAAAAAAAGAAAACCAGTTCCAATGTTATAAATACTCTCTCCTCAGCCTATTTCAAGTGATCAATACAATGCCAATAAACATGGATTTGGACAAAGATGTGCACAATCAGCTTTTTCAGATCAGTTCAAGCTGGCTCCAGGACACCAGTCTCCTAGGTGTTGTCCAATCCTGTTGCTTTAAGGACCTTTGAATAGGAATTGACTAGTGCAGTGGTTCTCAACCTTGACTGCACATGAGAGTTACCTGCAGGCGTTTTATTTAAAAGTCAGAAAGGAGAAATGAAGAAAACTTCCTCCCAACCCCATTCATATATTCAACAAGGATTTTAAGACACAGTAGTAAAGTGGCCAGAATGGCTCTGTATTTCCTCCCCACTTTTTGCTATATTCTCCTTGTATTTCCACTCTCACTCCAAGTGACTAGAATTCTCCATCCAGCTCATTTTGCTGACAAATATTGGTTGTTCTACTTTTTCCAGTAATCCATAAATTCTATTTTCCTTAAACCTTTCTGTTTCCAGTTTCCCTAAGAAAAAAGAAAACCTTTCTTTTTTCACTTCAGGCTCTGGCGATCAACTCTTCACATATGGGTTGTATTAGTATATAGGTATTGTCAGACCTGCAGATCAGAAGCTGACTGTCATTGAGAAGATATTTTATTATATTTGCAGATCCCAAGAGGAGTACAAGTCATGCTCCAGGGAAGCCCCATGGGAAAGCACTGGGTGAGTTAGGAAATAGAGGAAGAGAGGGGAACTGTGGGCAAGAGCTTTCACGGTGGTTTTCATGGGAAGGAAAAGACAAGGGAGATGTGCAGATTTAGAAATGGGTAGTTTGAAAAATTTCAGCAGGATCTGGGGCACAGGGGCTGTGCCTGGTCTAGCGGCAGGTATATAATGACCCAGAATGTGAAAACCCAGTAGGAAGCTGGTTTAGGATGCGGAGTCTGGATTGGTTGGTGTGTACTTGAAAAGACACCGCAGGAAGAGAACTCCTCCTAAGTGGAGGGAAGGGAAGGAGGGAGGCAGGAGGCCAAGGCAAAGCGACTCAGTCCTATTATTAGGTAGTTCAGAAAGAGGCATGTCTAGCACATGCTTGCAGGGCAGATGTTAAAGCATCAACTTGATAGAAGGTAGAAACATGGTTAATACAAACTCATAATGAGATATAAATGACTTAGAGTCCCTTTACCTTTCCTTGGAATACCTGAATTTTAAGAGCAGATACTTCTTAGGCCAAATATGACTCTTTAGTTGGTGGAGTATTTAATGCTGTCTTGTATCAGCATTTATCTTCTTATTCAGTTAAACAAAATTCTGAGTACTGCTCCATGCAAGGCAAAATGGTAAGTGCTGGAGATGCGAAACGCATACACCTGGAAGAGGACCAAGGCAGAAAGAATGGATACAACACAGGTCTGGCCATCCTGCACCCTGCTGTCTAATGGGGAAGCCCAACAGAAAACCAGCTGCTTGGAAAGCAAGGCAGAAGAAAGTGAGGCTTAGAGAATCTAGAGGAAAAAGATTTAACAGGTGATACCTGTGGGATGACCATTTTCTCAGCTCCTCTTTGACAGGAGTTGCGTGACAATTAAAAGTGGAAACTACTCACAAACACCAGAAATGCAGATTTTTCTATGGGGTTCATTTAAAGGAGAATCATTTTCTCAGCATACCAGCTCTCCAAGTAGCACATAGGGTGTTTTGCTCTGAAAATTAAAGAGTTTAACTTCTAATTATTTCTGTAGTGAAGGCTACTTCCTCAGCTTGTGGGTCAGCTGCTGGAATGCTAGAGGGAAGATGGGATCAGTTAGAATGTGTTCACAGAAAGTTACAGTAAATGTGCCTCGTGCTGGTTTAATCCATAAAGATATTTATTGATTATATAGCAAGAGGTCTGAAGGTAAGTGGTCTCAGAAATTTTTGGTATTTGTGACAGTAGAAAAAATAGCCACAATTTCTTTGTAATGCCTTCTATCAAGAGGCCAGAACCTATTTTCCATGCCTTGCGTCTAGACTGCCTTGCATCTTGCTTGAGCTAATAGAATGCAGCAGAAGCAATGTTGTACAAGTTTTGAGCTTAAGTTTCAAGAGACTTTGTTCACTTCTACTTTCATTCTTGAATCCTACCTAATCACCTTGTGATTAAGCCTGGGCTAACTTACTGGAGGATTAGAGACCATGTGGAGTAGAAATGGGCATCCCAGCTATGTGTGCTACCCACCCCTGCAGACCCACCAGCTGTTAGTTGACCTGACAGCTGATCATAGATGCATGATTTAGACCAGCTGAGTCTGGGAGACCCACCCACCTGAGCTCAGCCCAAATTGCTAGCTATACAATCATGAGCTAAATAAGGTTGTTGTTTTAAGCAACTAAGTTTTGGGGTGGTTTGTTACTAAGCAAAGTTAGCAGATACAGCATCTCAGTGATGGCACTAGGAACTAGGATCTTTCTGTGGTTCTCTCCTGCCAGCCACAGCTGTGTTATCAATGGCCTTCATTACGGTTGAGGGTTGGCTACTGCAGCTCCAAACTTCACATACTTACACTGTAGCCCCACAGTAGGGAAAAAGAGGGAGGGGAAGAAAGGCTTTCCATATTGCTCCAGCCTTTCACTAAGAGCATAAGCTCACTCAGACAGCTCCTAGCTGACTTCACTTTGTGACTCACTGGCTGTGACGGACTCACTTGTCCCTAGGCAATCCCTGGCAAATGATATAGCATGCATAACATTATTACATATGTATAAGGTATTTGAATTACCATTACTTTATTATTATTAGTAGTATTTTGTCTCTGTCAGCAGTCTTAACTTACCAGTTTCTGAATAGGGCCAAATTCAGTATAGAAAAGTTATAAGATAAAGTGAGTTTTGAAGCAAGGAAGAGAATGTTCTTTAGTAAACTATCAGTGAGAGGCAAGCTTTCTGATGTTAGAGGGAAAAAACACGGGCTGTGAGAAAATGCACAATCTAAGCAAATGAGTCATACATTTAAGAACAGTTATATATAGCAAAAGTCAACTGAGAAGACTAGTAGCCCAGAAATTGAGATAATTGGAACTTAATTTTATATATAATTGGCATCTAATTTTAAAGAACACATTTGCTGGTAGTAGGATTTCTACACATGCTAGACAAAGCCGACCCATGCCTCAGAGTCAAGAATTTCATACAGTAGAAGCACCCCAAGCATTTGATTTGTATAGGCATCTGGAGAGAAAGTTTGGGAGGGCCCTTCATGTGATAATCAGTACAGCAGGGAACAGCCTACTCATAAAACCGTAATTTAATCAGTGCCTTTAAGGTTATCATTCTGATAATAGAAAATCCATACCACAACAACGCAGTTACTTGTTTTATTATAGTAATATCCCTGAGAACCAGATAATAGTATTCAAAGGCAAAAGTGTAGTGTTATTAAAAGAACAGTTTATAATTGGAATTCCAGTAGCTGGGAACTGAGATGTAGTCATTTTCTGTAAGAAGTTGTCAAAACAAGGAGTTTCATATCACCTGTGGAGCAAAATTAAATACTCGGAGGCAAAGGAAACTCACAAAAACCTACATCATATCTTGTTTGGGTTGAAATGAATATTTCCTCACTGAATACTTTTAGACTCTGCCACCCCTGGTGTGAAATGTGGACATAACAATCATATTGCATTTATAATATGAAATGAAAAGGGATTTGTGACTGAAAACAAAAATCAAGCAAAAAAAAAAATCCAACAAACAAAAACAGGGAGTTTGACTCTTGAGAGAACTTGGAGGTCTCCAATATTTGAATTGCATGTATAGAAAGATTAGACTTATTTTGTGCTTGATGCTTGGTTATTATATGAATGAAGGAAAGAGGAAAAAGAGGATAGAGGGAAAAAGGGAGGGAGAAAAGAAGAAAATATGAAAATGAATAAATGAGAAAAGTGTGGATATGGAAGTAAAAACAATGTTTCAAGAACACAGATTTGGGTTCCATGTAAGGAATAAGTTAACAACATTTCAATATTTGCCTGAATGATAAAGGGGTTGCCTTGGGAAGTCAAGAGATGCATGTCCTTTGAAGGGTTCAAGGAAAAGGTACATGATCACTTGTTAATGAGTATTATAAGGAATACTCATTCAATAGATGACAGTGGGGCAACATGATATTTAATGTCATTTATTTTATTTTATTTTATTTTTTTTGAGACAGAGTCTCGCTCTGTTGTCAGGCTGGAGTGCAGTGGCATGATCTCGGCTCACTGCAAACTCCGCTCCCTGGGTTCAAGTGATTCTCCTGCCTCAGCCTCCTGAGTAGCTGGGACTACACGCACGCACCATCATGCCCAGCTAATTTTTGTATTTTTAGTAGAGATGGGGTTTCACCATGTTGGCCAGGATGGTCTTGATCTCTTGACTTCATGATCTGCCTGCCTCAGCCTCCCAAAGTGCTGGGATTACAGGAGTGAGCAACCACACCCAGCCTAATATTATTTCTTAATCTGAGATTATCTGAGCTATAACATGCACAAAATAGTGATTCACTTAGTTACCAGGACTAGACCTAGTCAAAACTACAATAAGCTGGCAGCTTTTTCTCAAAATCCCTACATCTTCCTTACTCCATAATAGTTCTCTTATTTCAATATCCCCTTTCCTCTCTGTACCAATTCACCCTTTCACTACCAAATGTTAATATAATCACAATAATCATTGTCTCTAAAGCAACAAAGAAAATAAATCTTATTAATTCATTGACTTTATGGGCTTGGGACTCAAACCAGTGATTTCCCCCACCAGATTCTAAAAGGACCATAGAGAAAATGCAATGCTTAAAGCAAAGGAATGAAGGATACACTGAGCATGGCCTGCCAGAGATGTTGCTCTGCTTTCAGGATACCTCCCTCCTACCACTCAAGACTTGTGGTTGCTCATCCCCACTTGAAATCTGCCTTGTCAATAACTAAAGAATATGTGGCAGTCATAGGGAAGCTACTGCTTATGAGAACTTTGAATTTGCTTTTGCAGATGGGGTTTACAGCATGATTACCTCTTCCGCTTCTTATTTCAGTTAAATAATTATGACTCCAATATCCACAGGTATAGGCAGTTTGTACTTGGTTTATATTTGTTAGTCAATTGATATGGTTTGGCTCTGTGTTCCCACCCAAATCTCATCTCAAATTGTAATCCCCATGTGTTGAGGGAGGTACCTGGTGGGAAATGACTGAATCATGGGAGTGGTGTCTGCCATGCTGTTCTCGTGATAGTGAGGGAGTTCTCACGAGATCTGATGCTTTAAAAGTGTTTGGCCGTTCCCCTCGCTGTCTCTCTCTCTCTCTCCTGCCATCATGTGAGACATGCCTTACTTCCCCCTCACCTTCTGCCATGATTGTAAGTTTCCTAAGGCCTCCTCAGCCATGAGGAGCTGGGGGTCAATTAAAACTTTTTTCTTCATAAATTATCCAGTCTCAGGTAGTTCTTTATAGCAGTGTGAAAACAGACTAGTACATCAATTTTTAAAATATGTATTAGGCACAACTAGTAAATACTATAAACATTGACTAACAAGAGTGATGCAAAAGCTACCCAGCTTTTTGGAAAAAGACCATGTATTTAAATTCTTTGTAAATCATCTGTCCTAGTCATACAGAAATGGTTAGATTTTCAAAGACATCATGATCACATGTGAGAAGAATACACATTCTCTCACAAAAATGTAAATGAAAGTTTTCCCAGTGTCTTGATTCAGATCTGATCATCTCTTGCCTCTGTGCCTAAAGTAACCTCCAAACAACAGGCTCCTCCTCTGATATCCATTTCCTCTGTGCCTCCAGTCACCTTCCTAGATCACATCAGATCAGGCCACTTTGCCACTTACAAACCTCCAATGTCTCCCAGTGACCAACAGAATCAAGTCCAGACCCTGTATCTTGCTATGTATCTTTATGATACATGAAGCTATCATAGAAGTCATATTTTCTCAGTAATCCCAATTTAAACATACGTTTCTTATTTTCTATCCTGTAACTTTTTATAATCTCCCAGAAATGTCAACATCTACCAAGTGGACTCTCATTCCTGCAGCAGCAGCAAAAAATAAAAAAAATGTTTTTGTAAATCTTTTGTTAAACCATGGGTCCCCTTTATTTTTGGAAAGTATTATCACAGGTTTTTTAAAAAGCCTTTATAATTGATTTCTTTCTCATTTCCTGACAAACATCACGTCTTTCATCTACACATATACCTAATGGTGAAACTACAGCAAGCTTTCATTCTTCCTTGGATAAGCCATGTAGTTTTTGCTTCTATAACTTTATGGATTATGTTCCTTCTCTGTGGAATGAGGCTTGCTTTTATCCCATCTGGAACACTTCTACTCATCCTCAAGAGCCCAATTCGAATATTACCTTCCATTTGAGACCTCTCAAAGGCAGAATTCTTTTCTTCTCCTGCTATACTTCCAGGACATTTGATACCTCCTTGGTAGTATTCATCACATGACATGTTGAGTTTTTACACATTTGTTTTCTGTCCTGGCTTATAAGTTCCTTAAGAATTTCCCTCACAGAAAAGGTGGTTGTGATATAATGACAGAGCACTGAACTTGGGGACTTTGGCTCAATTCACAGCTCTGCTATTTATGCACAGTTTGAATAACACTTTAAGCTTATAATATGTAGAATGATTGTGTGAGTTAATATATATTAAAGTGGCACACAATTGCACTTGCTCAATATTTAAGTAATGTAAGGGCAGATAAAGAAAAATGTCCAGTTGTAGAACTATGAACTACTTTCTGAACTTTACACCTAATCAGGTACATATGGTAGATACTCAATAAACCTTTGTAAATTAATATTAAATAATAATAATGAACAAGGACATAAAGAGATTAAAGAACAGTCAGACAGTGAATAATTTAGGCTTTGCAGGCAATAGGGTCTCACAGTTACTGAACTTTGCTGTTGTAGTGCAGAAGCATCAGGGTGTGGCTCTGTTCACATAAAACTTTATTTATAAAAGTAGACTTGGCTCATGGCCCATGGCTTGCTGACTTCTGGCAATATGTGTTGCAAATCTTTTTACCCAGTCTCCATCTGCTTGGATTGTCTATTGAGATTATTTGTAGTTATTTTGTTATGTGAAAGCCTTTCTTTTTGATGTAGTTATCAAGATTTTTCTCTTGCTTTATGTTTTTCTTTCTTTAAAAAATACATATTATGTCATCCACATAACTTAATGAATGTCTCTTATTTTTTTAAAATAAATTTTAAAGTTTGCTTTTCACATTTAAAACTTTGATACTTATAGAAACAATTGCTGTGTCTGTGAGGAACAGATACAATTTATTTATTTATTTAGTTAGTTAGTTAGTTAGTTATTTTTTTGGAAAGGCAATTGTTCCAACATTTTAAAAGACTAGTCCATCTTTTCTCAATTGATTTGTAGTACCACCACTCTTCTGTAGCAAGAATATATCAGTTTCTGTGTTCTCTATTTAGTTCCATTGGTATATTTGTCTATTACTGCATCAATTCCACATTGTCTAGTAACACCAATCTACCCTTTTTAATTTTTCTGTTATTTTCAGATGTATTTTAGAACCAATTTATTTCTGTGCTAGGGGAAAAAATCTGGTAAAATTCTGATTGAAATGGCTTTGACTTTATATATTAATTGTGGAGAATTTATATCTACATAAAATTAGAAAGTCCCATCTATAAGACTGTTATATTATCTCCATTTGTTCCATTTTATGGTCTTTATTAATGTTTCTAATTTTCTTCATTTAAATCTTGAACATTTTTGTTACATTTACTTTTAGATACCCCATTGGTCTATTATGAATGGTGTCTTTTTCTAATGTTTATGGCTAGTGTTGAGGAACTTATTGAGTTAGATCTTATAGCCTTTCCCCTTTCTGAGCCCTCTTACTAATTTGAACAGTTTTTAGATTTTTCAATAGAGATAAGTATTTTATACGCCAACAAAATTAATTTGATCTTTTTTTCTATTACTTGCTTTCTTCTTGTTTCCTCTTACTCCTCTCCCGCTCCCTCTCCCACTTTCTTTCTTTTTAGTCTTATGTACTTCTAAGGACTCTGGTATAATGCTAAACAAGTTAATGAGAAATAGTTTTGCTGCAGAGATGCTTCTAAAATGTTATCATTAGAAATAATGTTTGCTGTGGGTTTCCCGTAAACAGCCTTTATCAGAATAAGGAAGTCCCCTTTTATTCCTGTGTGCTAAGACAGTTTCCATCATAAATACATTCTACCCCCAAACTCTTGCACTTTCAATCTATATTCTCTGTTAAATGGTATCTCAGATACCTCAGTTGTTCATGACGTAGATATCTCCTTTGCAAACACCTTCCAATTCAACTCCTATACCAAGCCATCTTGATTTTTACTTCCAGTATGTATCTTTTTTTTTTTTTTTTGAGACGGAGTCTCGCTCTGTCACCCTGGCTGGAGTGCAGTGGCGCTATCTCGGCTCACTGCCAGCTCCTCCTCCCAGGTTCATGCCATTCTCCTGCCTCAGCCTCCCAAGTAGCTGGGAATACAGGCACCCGCCACCACGCCCGGCTAACTTTTTGTATTTTTAGTATAGACGGGGGTTTCACCATGTTAGCCAGGATGGTGTCGATCTCCTGACCTCGTGATCCGCCCACCTCCGCCTCCCAAAGTGCTGAGATTACAGGCATGAGCCACCGCGCCCGGCCCCAGTATATATCTTGAATCAATACACACAGGTTTTGTTTTTCATCTCTCTGACCCTAATCCAAGACATCATTATAACATACTATATTATTTCCTCATCTCCTAACTGGCCTCTCTCCAGCTGCTTTTTTCTCCATCTGGTCCTTCTGCTTACAGTAGCCAAACACAACTTTTCAAGTGTAAATAGGATCATGTCACCCTTTTGTTAAAAAAAAAAATCATGATTTCTCATCGCACTTAGAATAAAATCCAAATATGTTAACATCCTTCAGGGTCTTGCATCATCAATTTCCTCTCCAACTCATTGTTTCATCCCCAACCAAACCTGGGTTCCCACCACACTGGTCTTTTTGGTTCCTCAAAGCACCCACACTCTTTCCTGCTTTAGGATCTTTCCCTAGAATACCTTCTCCCTATAATGCACCAGGCTGTTTCTAATTTATCCTTCAAATCTCAAGCTAAACACCACTTCCTCAGAGCTGTCTTCCCCACCTCTTGTTTAGGTCTTCCTGTAATTTTTCTTGAAAGTATTTATTGCTATTTAAAATTCCAAAGGAATTTGTTGGATTGTTTGGGTTTATCTCCTCCTCTATGAGGGCAAGTTTCAATTTTCAACTACACTAAGAACCAATTATATTTTTGAATAAAAAAAATTAGATGCTGAAGAGTGACCCATAATTCAAAGCCAACATTGTGAATCCATTTTTGTTTGTTTGTTTTTTGCATTTCTTGGTTTAAATAATTCTCTTTCTTACCATTGGAATATGCCATAAAAATCTTTCTTAAAGCTGAGAAGAAATTTCTTGGGGGAAATTGCGGACCTAAATAGCCTAGTTACACCTAAATAGTCTAATTACCTAATGACTTTACTAAGAGACACTTCTCAGAGAGGTCATCCATTAAATCATCTCTCTTTATGAAACAGGTTCAACAATAATAATGTTTTTGAAGTCAATTAGCGCAGTTAGATATGAACAGAATGCAAATTGTTTATATTTTAAATGCATTAGGGTTAAGCAGTTAAATAAGTCACATAGCAAATCCCAAATGTAGCCTTAGACGATGTCTGGAATTTTCATTGTAGTTAGTTGTGTTCCTTATGTTAGTTCTCTACTAGATAGAATCAGGAGAGAGGAAGGATGAGCATTTGACTCTCCTAAACTTTAAGCTATGCTGCAGAGATTATAATACCTAATGGTGTTGTGAGAATAATTAAAATAATATTGGAACTACCAGGATAATGGTACACAGGAGGCATTTAATAAATAGCAGCTACTATTGTTATTTGTCATCATACTATCATTAGGATCATACTTCTCAAAACCATATGTGAATAGTGTTACTATAGAGCTAACAATCAAAGAGCAATGAATGACGTTACTGAGATTATCATTTTTATGCAACTGCAAAAACCTTAAAACTTCAGTAACTCTCTCCATTGCCAGTTGGTTAAAGTACAAGTTCTCTAGCAGGGTTTTCAGAATCCGTTACAATGGTCAAAGAAAATGAAGACAGAAGAGGAAAAGCAAAAGGTCAATAAACATCAAATTAATATTTGGCATCACTTAACTCAAAGAAATAAAAATTATAACAATGGCATGTTATGTTTTACTATGTAATTAGCAAAGCTATTTTTGTGCTAATATATACTGTGGGTGACAAAACAATGAAAGAGGGACTGTCATGTTATCTCTTGCAGAAGTAGAAATCATTAAAACTATTCAGAAAAAAATTAATAATCTATATCAGGAACTTTAAAGTTATTCTTACTTTTTACCCAATGTTTCAACTTCTAACAATAACAATTGGTAATATGTGGGTCAAGTACTTTACTGAGCACATGACGTACATTATCTGATACATACAACCCAGGAAATAATCCAAACACTGGAAAAATACTTAGGCAGACAATGGCCATGATAGCATTGTTTGCAATGTCAAATACTTGAAAACAATATAAAAATTCATCAACTAAAAATGGTTGCATTTATTGACAGATTATGATGCAAACATCATCATGATTATGAAGAAGAGATAATAGAATCATGTACTAGTAACAATTTTTTTAAGAAAAGCAATAGGCAGAATTGTACCTATGATTTAATTTCAATTATACCAAGAAAAAAGACAGTGTACAGGAAAGGCTGGAAAGAAATACACTGACATATTAGCAATGATTTCCACTACATTATGGGATTATTGATTATTTTTAAATGTTTTCCTTTATATTTTTCTAAAATTTCAATGTTTTACAGTAAGTATGTATTATTACTTTTACAAATAGAAAAAAAAAAATTGTAAAACTCCCTAACCAAACTGAATACATCCCTCAACAGCAGTCCTTCACCATTCATCCTAGACTCTTTTTTCAGATTCATCTCATGCCAAGCCTCTACGCCAATCCATCCTGAATTAGATGCTGTGCTCTTATATGCCGCTGTGCATTTGTAAGTATAAAATTTCTTTTGTGACGTTCCTTTTGTCCCATTCTCTCCATGACTCATCCTTTGAATTCCAGCTTGAATATCTCCTTCTCAAAGAAACCTTCCTTAAAGACAAGGAGGCTAGGCTCTTCCTCTGAGAGCTCATTGCTCCTTGAATACACCTCCAGAATAACACTCTTCGCTCCATCCTATGCTATAATTTGTTAAATTATCCACCTCACAATAGTCTACAATCTTCTTATGACTCTAGCATGCAGCACAGCACTAGACATGACAGATGATAGATAGATAGATAGATGATAGATCGATGATAGAAAGATAGAGAGTTGATAGATAATAGAAAGATTAGATAGATAGATAGATAGTTAGATGATAGATAGTAGATAGAAGATAGACAGATCGATGATAGAGAGATAGACAGATGATAGATAGGTAATAGACAGAAAGATATAAATAGATAGATAAATAGATAGATAGGTAGATAATAGATGAAAGGACATATGGACAATAACATTATATTAAATAGCACAAAGCCACTCTACAGTGCAGATGCTGGGTGAAATAAAAGTCAAGGGGGGTCTTTGAAATAAGAATGAGGGCTATACAAAGTATCTAACACTCCTTCATTAAATAATATCAATACCAAGTTTGGCACACTAAAAAGAACACAAATTTCTCCCATTAAAAATATAGGATTAAAAAATCATGGAAACAGAACATAACCACCAAGTTTTTTGAACTAGTGAGTTTGAGTTGAAAGTCCAATTTCTCATGTTGGCTCTTTGGGTAGGACACAGCATTGCACTAAGTTTTGTTTTGAGTTTTAAAACTGTTTAAGGGGTTTCAAGCAGAGGCTGATCTTGAAATGACTTCTGACCAGAGAACTGCGAGATAAAAAATTTCTTTGAGTGTGATGCAGACAGCAATACTTTTCATAGTGTCCAAATATTATTTTTCATCAAACCTGTAGAAAAGTTTTCAACCTGCCCTAATTTTTACCAATGAATCTAATAGACCTGGATTAAACTGCAGGGAAGATGAGAACATAAATTTCATTCCTTTCATTCCTTGTAATATTAGGGTTTGTATCCTTTCCAGTTGTAATAACCTCTAGACTTCAACAAAATTGAAAACCTTTAAATAGCCTTTCACAACCTTTCAGTGGAGTAATGAAGTTTTAAGTGCTCACTGGGGATTTTTCAGTTCAGAAAAATCTAAGCAGCAGTAGATATTAAAATCTAATGTTTACTTCAACTCTTTTATAGCCTAATGGGTTTTTCTGACGGTGTAATTTTTAAAAGGTTGGGTTTCATTTATTAATATAGTGTAGTCATGCAGGAAACCTTTCTTCTTTAAGGACTCTGATGGGAGTCTTATGGTTAAACCTTGGTTGAAAGCCAGAGGGATCAGCAGGAACAGGAAAACAGAAACCTGCAGTAGGGCTCACAGAGGCTGAAGCCAGGCAGGTTGTTTAGGTTTAGAAAATGGAGAAAAGTCCTCTTTTTATTACTTACGCACTACAGGAGGTGAAAAGACAAACACAGGATGTGAAGCCCCTGTGTGCACGTAATTATGAGTATGTGAGTCACTGGGGTCCACACAGTTGCCCACCAACCAGAAGGTCTGTCGAGGAAATCCAGCCGTTTGCTTGGCTGATGGGACTGATACTATTCTCCTGGAGCTGCTCTACCAGGGGCCAGAGGACAGGTATTTGGAAACCAAGGAGAAATTGCAGGGTGAACAACAGGCAAGCCCACACTTATGCAGAGATAGGATGTGATTTGGAAAAATTCCATTTTACACATTGTGTTGCTGAAACCAATATGCAGGGAAAACCTGAGTGAGCTCCAACCAAGTGGTTAAAAAAAAAATGCCACTTCTCATATACATACAATGTAGTTAATGGAGATTTGCAAGATAAGTACACTAGAGTGGAAAGGGGCAGGATTTATTTCCTTTGACTATGATGTAGTGAAGCTACTCTCAGGTATATATATATTATTGAGCATGTTATTTTAAATTATAAAATAAAAGTGCCACTTGAGAGTGTAATTGAAAATCATATTGTAAAGTAAAGGAGCTTGATGGTCATAAAGGATGGATAGTTCAGCATGTTTCTCGTCTTTACATTTCACAAATAGATGGTTTTGTTCTCATGTGTAATTCCAAAATTGGAATTTTGCCCTAATAGATAAGGCAATTTCAGAAAATGTAGACCACGTACTAAATTATCCCTTTAACAATTTTATAATAGCATCAGGATTCATTATTATTACTTGAGAGATGTTCATAATTTTTTAGAGAACGTAAAAACTTCAGATAAGTAAAACCAAAGCCAAAATCTTCTACAACCCCAATAGTCATTAAAAAATCTCAGTTTTTTGGATCTGACCTCTCAGTAGATTTTTTTTTTCTTGTTTTTCCTTTTTTTTTTTTTGAGACAGGGTCCTGCTCCATCACTCAGGCTGGAATGCAATGGTGTGATCCAGACTAACCGCAACCGCCACCCTGCAGGCTCAAGCATCCTCTCACCTCAGCCTCCCAAATAGTGGGAGCACAGGTGCATGCCACCACAGCCAGCTAATTTTGGTATTTTTTATAGAGAAGGAGTTTCACCATGTTGCCCAAGCTGCTCTCAAACTCCTGAGATAAGGAGATCCACCCACCTTGGCCTCCCAAGTGTTAGGATTGCAGACATGAGCCAGCATGCCGGCCTGGTAGATTTCATTTAACATTACAACATGAAGATTTTTAAATATATTCTCTTCTATAACATAATGATTCCATAATATTGCTTTATTTTGCTGCAAAATTTTGATAAGGGTCCAAATAAAAGTCATTATAAAATATTTTTCATTCTGTTTGCAAAGCACCTATTCGAATGATTAACTGTAATCCTGATTTTGTCCAGTTTCTTCAGTTGGTCATTCAACAAATGTATTGCATGCCCACTATGGGCCATGCACTGGGGATATGAAACAAAATTGCATCCTTCCTTACCCAAGGAAGTTACAGTCTAGTGGTAAGAATACAGATCCAACAATTATAAAATGATCACTATTTGCTACAGTGGAGGTATATACAATTACAATAGGAACACAGAACAGGAAACACCTAGATCTTTACGAAAGACTCAGGAAAGTTTCCATCTATCTAAAATAACAATATTTCTATGTCACATTTATATCAGGAAAATTTCTAACTTGTTTCTATAGCATAAAGTACAAAACTCTCAGTTTGGCTTCATGGGTGTATAAAATCAACTTAATCCTGTTTCTAACTTTTATACAGAAACCCTTCACTCCAGCTAACTCATCTCCCATCTCTGACTCTATTATTGATCATGTTCTTTCCCACTCCCTTCTGATTCTCCAATCGTAACTTTTCATCAGGACCCATCTTTTTCATCCAGACCCCCTTGACATACCAGCCAATCTTGATCTTCCTCTCTCCCAGCTTCTAAGGCCATAATGACCATAATGCTTCCCATTTTGCTTAACTATTCTGTGTGTATATCCTAAACCCCTAAGTAGATTGTTGGAACCTGGAGAAATGATTTTTTTATATCTCCAGTACATAGCATAACATTACATATGTCATATAATCTAGACATATTATATTTATTAACTTCTTTTACTGGAAGAGTGAATAAGTAATTATAGGAACTATTTAACTATGCTTTACATAGCTCTTCATTATTCATTTAGCATTCTGTAACTGATTCATGGTGCATAACACTTGATAATGTTTGCATAATTATTATATATCTACTAATCAGTTATATACCCATCTACTAAGAGAGACTCAGGGAGACTCACTGGCAAGGAACATGCCTTGAATTCATTTAACATTTAAGAAATATAAAATGAGTGCCTTCTGTGGAGTGTCAGGCATTGCACTAAGCATTGAGTAGTCTCTGTTGGATAGGACTGCCGTGGTGTCTGACCTCCTTGGGCATACACACTGTGATGTAATAGATACTCTTTCTAAGAAACATGTTATGCTAAAGCAATACACCATGACAAACAGAATCTAACGTAGCCTAGACAATCAGGAAAGGTTTCCCAGAGGCAGTGACCTTTAAAATAAGTCCTAAGGGCTAATAGGAGTCAGCAAAGTAAAGGGAAAATGGCAGGTGGCAGAGGGAACAGCAAGCACAAAGACTTGTGGGCACGATGAGCATATCATAATTGAGGACCCAGGAAAAGTTTAATATGCCTGGAACATAAAATTAGGAGAATGAAAGATGAATCTGGGAAGATGAATTAAACAGGTAAGTGTCAGATCATGTTAAAGACTTTGGACTTGACCCAAAGGCTACTTAGTGAAGAGCCTTTTGAGAGGCTTAAAGCAAGTGGATCTGTATTTAGAATGTTTGCTTAAGCGAAGTGGAGAACAGAATAGAAGAGAGGAAGACAAGAGTCAAGCAGATTAGTTAGGAGGCTTTTGCTATAGTCCAGGAGGAAGATGATGATGGTCTAAAGTGGATTACTGTGGATGAAATTGAAGTGGAAATTAAAGAACATTTTAGGAGAAAGAATGGAGAGAACATGGTGTCAGGACACAAACACCACATAGGCAGTAACTGGACTTGGAAAACACAAGGGTTCTGGAACCAGGCAGACTTGCTTCAAGTTTTTACTCTTGCTTGCTGGTCAGTTTGGCAAAGTTATTTACTCCTTTCTAGGCCAGTTTCCTTATCTATAAAATGGTGATTTTTGCTGGATCTCAGAAGCTGGTACTATGGTCTGAATGTTTGTGTTTTAGTTCCAAAATTCATATGTTGAAATCATAACCCTGAAGGTAATGGCACTAGGAGGTGAGGGTCTTTGAGAAATGATTAGGTTATAAGGGGGTAGACTTCATGAATGGGATTAGATCCTTATAAAGAGGCCCCAGAGATATCCCTCTCTCCTTCTGCCACATGAGGTTATAGAAAAAAGAAATGGCTGCCTATGAACCAAGAAGTGGGCACTCACCAGACACTGAATCTGCCAGCACCTTGAGCTTGGTCTTCCTAGTCTTCAGAACTATAAGAAATTAAAAAATTTCTGCTGTTTATAAGCCATCTGTCTATTAGAGTTTGTTGACAGACAGCCTGACAGACTAACACAGCTGGGGAAAGGGTACACTTTAATAAGTGAATGTAGGCAAATCTACTTCACACAGTGTTTAGTACATAGAAGATGCTCAGAAATTATTAGTCCTTTTCCTTTCTTCTCTCCTTCATGTGTGAGCAAACTTTATCATCAGGACTGGTACCAATTCTCCAGAGAAATCATACTTTGTTATGACCTTTTATTGGAAGTCTTTCAGGAAACTCTTTAGCTCTATTCCACACAATATATACCAGCATAATGGCAGGGCCTTATGCAGATCAAGTGCTATTGACAGATACATTGACATTAGGTGGGAGAGGAGAGTGGAAGAAACTGAAGCAAAGACAGGGGGATACGGAAAAATAGAGAAATAAAAGAAAAATCCATAAGCATAGAGGATGCGTAAAATTTATCACTGAGATGCTTCCTTCAATTTGATCATAAATTTATACAAGAAGAGGATTTTCTTTGGGGAAGACTGAAATTTACAAGGGAACAAGTTTCTAGCAACTTGCAAGAAAAAAATAAAAGGTTCTCTAGTAGAACTGTTTTATGGCCTAACCTAGATAGAGCATATGTTTACATTTGAAGGATTATTTCCAGAACTTATTTATCACTCCAATGAAATGTGAATCCCACATAAATTTTTTAGTTTTAAGTTTCGGATGACTAATTTAAACCATGTGGCAAAATGGCAGCGTAGTGAAATTTACCATAGTGACCACATTGATCTTTGATTCCAGTGATTAACTGTGACTTTTGTTTGGTGAACTTCATTGGACTTTTTGTCACCCATTTCTTGCTCTCTGTCATGTGTTTTGAGCTTTCCTAGCTATATTGGATTCATGTTTTTCCAGCATTCCTTTTGAGGATATCTAGAAATCTAGCTTTCCATAAAAATGCAACATGGCCCATAAGGTTCAAGTACGTTCATGATTTGGAATCAGAGTGCTCCATCCACTCTAGACTTGGTAGACACATGACCCATGCTGGTTCAAGCAGAATCTTTTTCAAGAGCTTTCCCAGAGCCGTAAGAAAAGAGGCTTTCATTTCTATGACATTATGAGATGAAATAACAAGTCAACCACAAGAAGAGTTTTCTGACCAAGGAAAGCAGAGTAGAGAAATAGAGAAGATAAGGCAAAGTCCTATTTATATTCTTTGAGCACCCGATCCAGGCATTCCTGAATCCACCAAGCCCTCCAACGGTTGGGTTATATGAACCAATATGGTTGATTTTCTTTTGCTTAAGCATCTTTGCACAGGCTTTCAATCATAACCAAAAGCAACCTGACACTATGACACGATTTTTGTATTCTATAATACCGAAATGCTTGTGCATTGATAAAATATTTTTCCAGAGGTATTTAGAAATGTCTTATTGGAATTCTATCTAGATCAGCCCTTTGGTCATGTTTATATCATATCTTTTTCAGAAGTGTCAATTTGACAGAACTTTAAATATTGGAGCTTTTACTCAATATAAGCTATAGCCATTTACAAGGAAAAGGAAAATACTTGGTCCATTATAGCTTCAAAATGTTGAGGAAACAGTGTGGTTTATTATAAAGAATACACACTAGAAGCTAGTCCTGCAGTAATATCACACATCAACCACCTAAGAGTTACACAAATTTTCACCAGTTACTAGCCAGACTGCACCTCAGACTTTGCATCAATAAATCAGGAGTGATAATGCTTCTCGCTTATGTGAAGATTAAACGGAATCATATTTATAAAATTCTATCTCATTAAGGGTAAATAATCTAGTTTTTTTCCACTTTTCTATCCCTAGGCTCTACAACAGTGCCTGGAACATATTAGCTGTTTATTAACTATTTGTGTCAAACAGAAATGTCTAGTACAAAATGAGTGTACAATACAGAGTAAGTAGTATGGTGGTGGTGATGATGATGATGATGCCATACACATGGCTGGTGAGCTTTTGTCACCTGTGGGAAACAAAGCTCATAGGAAAATGGTTTCAGCTATTCCGCTATCCAAAGTAGACTCCTGACATCACGGAGATAGACAAATACATGGCTTACTAGGATATTTCTTTATAACCCCAGCACATGAATAAAAGCCATAATTTATTCATTAATATTATTGAGCAATAGTGAGCATGTGCTGAGTATAATGCTAGATGCTAGGAACACCATGAGGATCAGCAATTATAACTAACATGAATAGTAATAGCTAAGATTTCTGGAGCATTTTCTTTCTGCCAGGTATTTCTTAGAGCACTTTGTTTTTTAGCTCCTTCATTCTCAGAAAAGTTCCATGTGGCTGGTAAAACTATTGTCATCATAATTTTACAAAGGAGGAGACTGAAGCATAGAGCATTGAGAGAACTTGTCCAAGGACAGCAGCTGAGTGGAGCCAGATTCTTTAACCCAGCTGGTCCGGCTCCAAGACCCACAGTCTGCGACATATTACAATATTCTCAAAGAACCACGAGAATATGAGAACCAGGTTTTAGAAGATGTGGTTTAATAGTAGATACAAGGGTGCTACTATGTGTAGAATGGTATTTTCTTTGTCCTAATGAATGAACAAGACATGGAAAAGTATCCCAGAACTCAAAATTAGATTTTCTCAGCTTAATGTCAGGGCCAGATCTAAAAACAATGTGAAGCTGTTTTCAAGATCACCTCTTCCTCTCCTAAGGCCCCAGGACCTGAATGTTTTTCAGCCCAAGCAAGGCCTTTCCAACCATCTCTGGCCTCTTTGGACTTAAAGGTCTTAGAATCTTCCTTCCTTCCTCCCTTTATCCTTATTCCCATCACAAGTTTTTTAATTAATGAATACTATTCCTTGAATAGTTTTTATCTAAACAACTAATTCACACAGGTGTGGAGGATTATTCATGGCACCATGGTCTTTCATCAAAGGGATGAATCTCATTTCTTCCCACCTAAACTATTAATCAGCTCAACAATAACCCACAACACTCAGACCAACTACCACCTACACTATTGAAGTAGTTCTCTACCTAACCTTCCAAACTGCAGCTTCTTCTCCCTTTTCCTTGGACACAGCTGAAAGGGTAAGCTTTTCTAATGCTGCTTTTGAGTGAGTCTTCTATTCCGAAATATGTGGCTGCATACTTAACAACGAAAAAAGTCCAAATTTCGTAAACGGGCATTTGACACCCTCAAAATTTGCCTCTATCGATCTTTTGGAATGCATTTCCCTCCATGAGCTTACACATGTTTTACTGTATCCTAAGCATGTCCATGTGATCCCACCTCCTCACCATTTTGTATATTCCTCCCTATACCTGGAATCTCCTTTCCCTCCTTTCATTCAATTCATTCTCCTACATTTTTTGAGTATTTGCTGTAGGCCAGTCAACAGTCTAGGTCCTGGGAATGCAGCACTAATCTACAGGACAAAGTATCTACTTTTACAGAACTTTTATTCTAATGAGTAAAAAGATTAGATAAATAAATAAACAGGAATTTCAGTGAGCAGTAAGTGCTATGAATACAATAAAACAGGGTGATGGGGTGGAGAGTGAGTTGGGGAGCTGTCATTTCATTGAGTGTCCAGGGAAGAGATTTCTGAGTGGATAATTTTGATCTCAAACTAAAAATCAAGACAGATTCAGCCATGTAAGGATCAGAAAGTTCCAGGGAGAAAGCTGAGCAAGTACCCCTGATATTCAAATACTATCCGCTCTCAAAGGCCTAGTTCAGATGCAACCTCAGCTTCAAACCTTCTTTTATCCTTCTAGCTTAATTCCAGCCCATAATGTTTTATTGTCCTTGCAGTGTTACCACTTTCTGTCTTGGATGTTAGCTATGTATGCACACTTTTCAACCCTGTTAGAATTTCCAGTCTTGAAGATCTATCCTTTTACCACCTACAATGCTTAGCCCAATATTGACATAGACACTCAAATATTTCTTAAGTGAGAAAACAAAGGAGTGAATTAATGAACAAAGAAAACATGATAGAATTTGATTTCACTGGTAGCTGAATGGGGAAGACAGATATTGGGGAAAAGGAATTATGGAGTGCCTCAAAAAGTTCCTAAAAGCCTAAGGCTGATGCTGGTTCTCTTATGGAGAATCGGAATTCTTAAATTTCCAGTTGGCCCTCATTGGAGGAGAAAGTACTAAATAAAATCTTTCCAATGGTTGTTTTAAGCTTCCATCTTTCACCAGGCATGTTAAGTTGCTATGATGGGGCAGACTCTGAAACCACAGGGACATTCTTCAAAGATCTAGCACAGTCTGAAGCCTGGGCGTGCTTCGATGAATTTAATCGTACAGAGCTGGAGGTAACTGTAGTATCAGTTTCTTAGTAAAGCTGGTATTCAATGAAAGTGACAAGCCTGACAACTTCATTAACAGCATTGACGGAGCACCCAGATTCATAAAGCAAGTCCTTAGAGACATAGAAAGAGACTTAGACTCCCACAAAATAATAATGGGAGACTTTAACACCCCACTGTCAACATTAGACAGATCAATGAGACAGAAAGTTAACAAGGATATCCAGGAATTGAACTCAGCTCTGCACCAAGCGGACCTAATAGAAATCTACAGAACTCTCCAGCCCAAATTAACAGAATATACATTCTTCTCAGTACCACACTGCACTTATTCCAAAATTGACCACATAGTTGGAAGTAAAGCACTCCTCAGCAAATGTAAAAGAAGAGACATTGTAACAAACTGTCTTTCAGACCACAGTGCAGTCAAACTAGAACTCAGGATTAAGAAACTCACTCAAAACCGCTCAACTACATGGAAACTGAACAACCTGCTCCTGAATGACTACTGGGTACATAACGAAATGAAGGCAGAAATAAAGATGTTCTTTGAAAACAATGAGAACAAAGACACAACATACCAGAATCTCTGGGACACATTCAAAGCATTGTGTAGAGGGAAATTTATAGCACTAAATGCCCACAAGAGAAAGCAGGAAAGATCTAAAATTGACACCCTAACATCACAATTAAAAGAACTAGAAAAGCAAGAGCAAACACATTCAAAAGCTAGCAGAAGGCAAGAAATAACTAAGATCAGAGCAGAACTGAAGGAAATAGAGACACAAAAAAACCCTTCAAAAAATCAATGAATCCAGGAGCTGGTTTTTTGAAAAGATCAACAAAATTGATAGACCGCTAGCAAGACTAACAAAGAAGAAAGGAGAGAAGAATCAAATAGACACAATAAAAAATGATAAAGGGGATATTGCCACCATCCCACAGAAATACAAACTACCATGAGAGAATACTATAAACACCTCTATGCAAATAAACTAGAAAATCTAGAAGAAATGGATAAATTCCTCAACACATACACCCTCCCAAGACTAAACCAGGAAGAAGTTGAATCTCTGAATAGATGAATAACAGGCTCTGAAATTGAGGCAATAATTAATAGCTTACCAACTAAAAAAAGTCCAGGACCAGATGGATTCACAGCCAAATCCTGTCAGAGGTACAAGGAGGAGCTGGTACCGTTCCTTCTGAAACTATTTCCATCAATAGAAAAAGAGGGAATCCTCCCTAACTCATTTTATGAGGCCAGCATCATCCTGATATGAAAGCCTGGCAGAGACACAACAAAAAAAGAGAATTTTAGACCAATATCCCCGATGAACTTTGATGCGAAAATCCTCAATAAAATACTGGCAAAACGAATCCAGCAGCACATCAAAAAGCTTATCCACCATGTTCAAGTGGGCTTCATCCCTGGGATGCAAGGCTGGTTCAGTATACGCAAATCAATAAATGTAATCCAGCATATAAACAGAACCAAAGACAAAAACCACATGATTATCTCAATAGATGCAGAAAAGGCCTTTGACAAAATTCAACAACCCTTCATGCTAAAAACTCTCAATAAATTAGGTATTGATGGGACATATCTCAAAACAATAAGAGTTATCTATGACAAACCCACAGCAAATATCATACTGAATGGGCAAAAACTGGAAGCATTCCCTTTGAAAACTGGCACAAGACAGGGATGCCCTCTCTCACCACTCCTATTCAACATAGTGTTGGAAGTTCTGGCCAGGGCAATCAGGCAGGAGAAGGAAATAAAGGGTATTCAATTAGGAAAAGAGGAAGTCAAATTGTCCCTGTTTGCAGATGACATGACTGTATATCTAGAAAACCCCATCGTCTCAGCCCAAAATCTCCTTAAGCTGATAGGCAACTTCAGTAAGGTCTCGGGATACAAAATCAATGTACAAAAATCACAAGCATTCTTATACACCAATAACAGACAAACAGAGAGCCAAATCATGAGTGAACTCCCATTCACAATTGCTTCAAAGAGAATAAAATACCTAGGAATCCAACTTACAAGGGATGTGAAGGAACTCTTCAAGGAGAACTACAAACCACTGCTCAATGAAATAAAAGAGGATACAAACAAATGGAAGAACATTCCATGCTCATGGGTAGGAAGAATCAATATCGTGAAAATATCCATACTGCCCAAGGTAATTTATAGATTCAATGCCATCCCCATCAAGCTACCAATGACTTTCTTCACAGAATTGGAAAAAACTACTTTAAAGTTCATATGGAACCAAAAAAGAGCCCGCGTTGCCAAGTCAATCCTAAGCCAAAAGAACAAAGCTGGAGGCATCATGCTACCTGACTTCAAATTATACTACAAGGCTACAGTAACCAAAACAGCATGGTTCTGATACCAAAACAGAGATACAGACCAATGGAACAGAACAGAGGACTCAGAAATAATGCCACATATCTACAACCATCTGATCTTTGACAAACCTGACAAAAACAAGAAATGGGGAAAGGATTCCCTGTTTAATAAATGGTGATGGGAAAACTGGCTGGCCATATGTAGAAAGCTGAAACTGGATCCCTTCCTTACACCTTATACAAAAATTAATTCAAGATAGATTAAAGACTTACATGTAAGACCTAAAACCATAAAAACCCTAGAAGAAAACCTAGGCAATACCATTCAGGACATAGGCATGGGCAAGGACTTCATGTCTAAAACACCAAAAGCAATGGCAACAAAAGCCAAAATTGACAAATGGGATCTAATTAAACTAAAGAGCTCCTGCACAGCAAAAGAAACTACCATCAGAGTGAACAGGTAACCTACAGAATGGGAGAAAAATTTTGCAATCTACTCATCTGACAAAGGGCTAATATCCAGAATCTACAATGAACTCAAACAAATTTACAAGAAAAAAACAAACAACCCCATCAAAAAGTGGGTGAAGGATATGAACAGACACTTCTCAAAAGAAGATATTTATGCAGCCAAAAGACACATGAAAAAATGCTCATCATCACTGGCCATCAGAGAAATGCAAATCAAAACCACAATGAGATACCATCTCAAACCAGTTAGAATGGCGATCATTAAAAAGTCAGGAAACAACAGGTGCTGGAGAGGATGCGGAGAAACAGGAACACTTTTACACTGTTGGTGGGACTGTATATGAGTTCAACCATTGTGGAAGTCAGTGTGGTGATTCCTCAGGGATCTAGAACTAGAAATGCCATTTGACCCAGCCATCCCCTTACTGGGTATATACTCTAAGGATTATAAATCATGCTGCTATAAAGACACATGCACACATATGTTTACTGTGGCACTATTCACAATAGCAAAGACTTGGAACCAAGCCAAATGTCCATCAATGATAGACTGGATTAAGTGGCACATATATACCATGGAATACTATGCAGCCATAAAAAAGATGAGTTCATGTCCTTTGTAGGGACATGGATGAAGCTGGAAACCATCATTCTCAGCAAACTATTGCAAGGACAAAAAACCAAACACCACATGTTCTCACTCATAGGTGGGAATTGAACAATGAGAACACATGGACACAGGAAGGGGAACATCACACACCAGGGCCTGTTGTGGGGTGGGGGGAGGGGGGAGGAATAGCATTAGGAGATATATGTAATGTTAAATGACGAGTTAATCGGTGCAGCACACCAACATGGCACATGTATACATATGTAACAAACCTGCTCATTGTGCACATGTACCCTAAAACTTAAAGTATAATAATAAAAAAAAACAGCATTGACATTAAGCAATGTTGACTGTCTCATAGTTAAATAGGGAAGGAAAAATTATACTTTTGGAACATTTTAATCAAACTCTACTGGTAGTCTGTGTCAGATCTGCCCTTGTGTTTTGTTGTTGTTGTTGTTGTTGTTGTTGTTTGAGACAGAGTCTTGCTCCATTGCCCAGGCTGGAGTGCACTGGAGCGATCTCACCTTACTGCAACCTCCGCCTCCTGGGTTCAAGCATTTCTCTGCCTCAGCCTCCTGAGTAGCTGGGATTACAGGCACCTGCCACCACACCTGGCTAATTTTTGTATTTTTAGTAGAGAAGGGGTTTCACCATCTTGGCAAGGCTGGTCTTGAACTCCTGACCTTGTGATCCATCTGCCTTGGCCTCCCAAAGTGCTGGGATTACAGGCATGAGCCACCGTGCCTGGCCTGCCCTTGTTATTTTGTGTGCTGTTTTTTCAGCTTGCTCCTCCTTCAAGTGTTGCTGGGGAGATGTTTCTCCCCTGCCCCCTCTCTGCATAGTAATGGAAGGAGGTTCAGGAGTTGCTGCTGCATATTGTTCACAACAGATTAGCTGTGAGCTCTCTCTCTCTCTCTCGTATGCAACCTGCCACTCATCATATCCAACAGACAGTTCCTAACTTTCATCTATGGAATGCTTGCAACCAGGAAAGGTACCCTATCGCAGTGTTTATTACGTTTCTAGAACCGCTTCTGCCTTCAGATTATTTTCCTGCAGATGAAATGCCTTTATTCTTGACTTAGAGGGAATTCTAAATAAAGAATTAATTTTACTTCCCCAATTAACCCAAAAAACTAAATATGGAGAATATAGCAGGGAATATTCTACAAGACAGCGAGATGACATGTTTATAGCATCATGTGTCAACAATAAATGCAGTTCGTAGTTTAGGAAAAATAGTTGAATTTGATTCAAATGTGTTGTTGAAATCAGGTCTTTTTGAAGTGGTGTGAATATAAGTATTTTAAGATGTTATAAGGGATTTTTCAAATTTTTCAGTTCCTATATTTACGTTATGTTTGTGGCAATAATGCATTTAGTAAGGAATCACCATTTTGACAACATCACTTTGAAATGTCTTTATTTCATACATTTAATATTTTTGTCAATGCCTTGAATAAGTTATCTCTTTAAATGTATTCTCTGAGTGTGTACATGTGTCATATTTAACAAATAACTCCTAAAGGGATATTGTAAAATAATTTGAAATTCATTGTTAATTTTTAAAGTTGCTCAATAAGATTCGTATAGACAGTTTTCAGTTCTATTCTTTCTTTATTATCCTTTAGCAACCCAACATTTTCTCTTTTCAACACAGAAGTAAACTTTGACATGGAACCCTGTCTGAGCCAGATCGCATGCCCAAGATTGGTAGTAATGAATCTATTCTCAGGTACAGCTGAGCTGTCACCTCATTTCCCCAGGACATGGTGTCAGAGGGATAATACCAACATGTCCACAATGACATAGTTGGGTCTGCTCTATTGGGATATGGTACATTTTTAAGAGTGTTCATGTCAAAAGGACAGTGACTGCCTTCCATCAGGGAAAGATGTACTCCTATAAAAAATATGAATTTGATGTTCAAATAAAACACGGGAGAAGAAAATGACTATGAAATCACTTTTTGCTTTTGTGCATTTTTTGTCTTACCTTCTGAAGAGATCCCACAGGACCAGCACTAAGCTTCTCTTCATTAGAACCCAGATTTCAATTTTAATTTTAATTAGAATAGATGACTAGAATACTTACCACTCTCTGTAGTTTCTGCATGGAGCTAATCAGCAACTAGAAGCATGTCCTATGTTTTCATAAAAAGATTAAGAACTTATTCCACAAAGATTTACTGCTATCCATAAAATTATTTTATATCCTACCATAGCACTTTTTTTGGTGGATGGGTCATTTCTGGAAGAAAGTGGCTTTTTTTCACCCCCATTTATACAGTAACAGAACCAGGTAGAAAACTTCATTTTAAATACATACAAATCTTCAATTTTTGTAGGACCATGGCTTTACTAATAAACATCCCATAGAACCCTGGACTTTTCCCCAGCATTCAAGTGTAATTTTGAATATTATAATAATATATACAAACTAAAGTAAATGTCAGTGATCATATTACACACGCCATTCTATAACCCAGACTGGTTTCACATTATTCAAGTGATCATTTTAGGACAACATAATCAACACCTACATGATGATTAAACTATGACTATGTAATCTGCACCTAAATTTTTGACACTTTGGAGTTTACAAAGCAATTGCAGTTGACCAGTCATTCATTCAATCAGCAAATATCTATGGAATTTCTATTCTGTGTCAGGAGCTGTTCTAGATTAGGAGAGTAGGAGGTGGATTTAACAGTGAATAAGGTTGACAGGGCCTGATTACACACAGCTTGTATTTGCTCAACTACTTAGGAATAGAAGTAGAAAAGATACTGTTATCCAAATTTTATAGAGAGAAGGAACTCAGTCTCAGAAAAGTTATGTGGTTACCTAACATCACCACATAGCTGATGAGTGGCCAAGCTATGACTCACACCTACTGTGTCTTTACTCCAACATCAAGCTATTGGATGGCAATAAAAATAGGCAAGAAATAAAAGATTTTCTTTAGGACAGTTCTTTTTTCCTCCATGCTTATTATAAGACAAATCTGTCCTAAGATTACCACAACAAATACAGGACTTAAATGGAAAAGAAAGTTAATACAAAACATGACCATTCTCTGTCACATATAATGCCCCACTCTCTCTTAGTTTTGTTCCCCCCAAAATGAAAGTAGCTTTGTCATTTCTTTTCATTATAAAAGTTATTCATACTATTGTAAAATAAAAATCAAACATACTGAAAAGAATGAAAAAAAAGTAATTGTCACTATCCAGTCACTGTCTCACTACCCAGACAACCAATATTATTCTATCTCAATACATATATATAATACACATGTATTTATCATAATTATGAAATATGATACTATACATACTATTCTATAATGCAAGTGCATTCCATATTAATAAATATAGATCCAAGTGATCATTTTGAAAGATTGTGTAGCATTCCATTCTGAGTATGTATTATATTTCATTGAGTCAACCTTCTTTTAATGGACATTTCAATAGTTTCCATTTTGATAGTTAAAAGCAAAGCTAAAATTAACATCCCTGCATAAAGATATTTATATATTTGTCCATTTGTTGCCTTGGGATAAATTCTCAGCAGTGGGCTTGCTTGAATATAAAGGTAGACATATTTTAATAATCAGATGTCTCAATTTACAACTTTTAACTTTTACAAATTTACAAATTTCAGTGTTGTAATTTTTAAGTTTTAATTTTTCATGATTAAAATATACATTATAGAGTTAAGAAAAATATGTAAATTCACAAAAATAGAACTCAATAATTCTACAACTGTCAATTTTCTTCTATATATCTTCACATCATTTCCCTTAGTCTATAATATTTTTTAATAAAATTGGGATCATACTGTAAACATGTTTTTATGTTATTTCTTTTTCCAAGTAAACTTCTTAATTGTAGAGCTTACATATCCAGACAAAATTTATAAATCATGATCAATGAATTTTTAAACACACCTATGTAACTACTATCCAGGTGAAAAAACAGAACATTACCAGCTGCCCCCACTTCCACTACTCTGCCAGAAATGCCCCTTGATCGCCCTGTCAGTCACCAAATTCTCCCATCAAAATACCCATTATAATCACTTATATTACCATAGATTAATATTGCCTGGTTTTGAAATTTACATATATGAAATCATACAGTAAGTGTTCTTTTGTATCTGCTTTCTTCACTCAACAGAATCATTCCTATTGTTGCATGCAGCAGTGCTCTGTTCATTTTCATTATTATATTGCTATATTGTGTTAAAGAAAAAAAGTGATTCAGTGATTGTTGTTAAACCACAGTAAGGAAGGCTTTATGCAGTTCTTAGCAATAGGTATAAGCAACACTGCAATGAGATTTTGCAGTTGGGGGAGAGAGATTGGCCTCGACTCTGATCATGGTCTGGGCAAGTGGGAATTTATAGCCAAGGAGCAGGGTAGGGATCAGTGGGTGGAAAATTACTAAAAGGAAACATCAGGGATAGGGGACATTCTGACTAAACTGATTTAACTGGATTCTTGCTAAAAACAGCCTAGGGTGATCAGACATCACCTGGAGGGTGGTGGAGGATGAGAAACCTGATCAGGTATCAAGGGTGGGGGCGATCTTGCTAAACTGACTTAGCAGGGTTCATGCAAAAACTGAATTTTACAAGGAAGTACACAGATGGGCCCAGGAGAAGGTTCAGGAGCCTGACTCCTGGTCAAGCAAAAAAAATTTTTGTCAGTTGTTGCACGATTATACCATTTAAAGATAAATGCTCTTTTCTACTTGTGATGAACATTTGGGTTGTTTTCGATTTGAGTTATTACTAATAATGATAAAGTAACACTTTTTATTATTATTTTGGTGCACACAGCTATGCTTCTATATTGGCATGTGCCTTTCAGTGGGATCGCTAAATACACATATTTTCAGCTTCAGGAGAAACTGACAATGTGGTTGCACCCATTTATATTTCCATGAGCAGTGAGAGTACTTAGGTGCTCCAATCTCACCAACACTTGGAATTCTCAATTTTTGAATTTGTTTTGCCTTTGACATTCAAATGTATGTATTTATATATCATTGAAGTTTTAATTTGCATTTCTCTGATGATGTTGATCATCTTTTCATCAATTTATTGACCATTTGGATATATTGTTTATATAAGCCGTTTTGAGTCTTTTTCCTCAAAAACCTTTGGACGCTAACGTCATTTACTCCCCTTCCACTTTTTGTGTTAACATGTATTTGCAATCTATGTATGATGCACAGATTTGAATCTGTGAATCCTCCATGACTTATCATTTTACATATTCAGTGTTTATTTAGATTTGCCCCCCACATATTCACTCTTTTTATTGCTTATTGCTCTTCCTTCCCTCCTGTTTTCTTCTTTCCATAAAAATAATTTCCCTTCTGTCTGTGTTTGTTTTAGGCTGGAACTGCTTGCAACAAATTCTATCAGTTTAATGGACTTAAAACATCTTCCTTTTGTCTTGTAAATAAAGCTTTTTTTTTTTAGCCAAATAGAGAATACTTGGTTGGTAGGTTTTTGTTTTTGTTTTCATTTCAAAAATGTTATTCTACTGTCTTTTGGTATCCATCATTTCCTTTAATCAGTCTGCTATCATTATTTTATTGCTCTTTTGAAGGTAATGCATTTTTTTCAGAAATGTTAATGTGTGCTATCATCTGTGATTTCCTTTGCATTTTTTTCTTCTTGAGATTCATAGTGCATCTTGAACCTCATAAGCCATCATTACGTTTGGAAAATTTGTTAGTATGATTAACTGTGGGAAATTTCTAGCCTTTATCTTGTTAAATGTTAACTTCTACAACTTGTTGTTTCTCTTTTTCTGGTGGAACTTCAATTACATGTGTATTAGCTTCAGTCATACATTAGAATATCTCAGTATACCTTATTTATCTTCTATGCTTGTTTATATATTTTCCATTGATTTTTCTTTTTCTCCTTCAATCCCTCAGTTTGAAAATTTGCCATTGATTTATATCTCAGTTGAATGATTCTCTCTTCTTACGTATTTAAACTGTATTTAAATCTAAATATTGAGTTCTTAATTTTATTATCTTAGTCTATAATTTCAATATGATTCTTTATAGATGTCAGCTTTCTGGTAAAATGTTTACATTGTCATCCATTTTTTAAAAAAACATACTAAAATAAATGTTGTTACATTTATTTTAAACTCTGTGAACTCTGTGTTGTGTTAAACTCCAATATCTAGATCAACTGTATATTGGTCAATTTCCATTGTTGGTATTTTGTGTTGGGTTTTGATCATTTTTGGTCCTACCTTTGGCATTGCTGGTAAATTTTTACATGAATGTCAGATATCATATAAGAAATATTATAGAGGCTATGAATAATATATTTCTTTAGAGAAAATGTATGATTTTTCTGGTAGGTATTTATAGGAGTTAGACGTCTTGATGCAGTCATAGATTGAGATGATTTCAGGCCAGATATCAGTCTTTGTGACGGCTGGCCTATTATTCTGGCTGTCTTTAATCCAAGGGCTTAACCTTTCAGATGTTTCAAGAGAAAGCCCAAGTTTTCAACAAGAGCTTTTTTTTTTTTCTTGGCAGGCCCTGGACGCCAGGGTTTAACTTTTTAACCTTTTCAGAATTGTAAAAAAGTCAACAGCTTGGCATCATACTTTAGCTTCTTACTTCCCACTTTGTGTCTGACTTCTTGGCCTTACTATGTGTAGCTTGTGGATCAACAAATATCTGGAGGGAAAAACAGCAGAGAATTCCAGGCCTACCCAAATGTGTTTATCTCTTCTGTGGACTCTTGACTGCCTTCAGCACTTTCTAATGTTTTTACACAGCTTTATTTTGAATTCTATCAGTAAAGAGTTGATCTGATACATGCCATTCTATTACAGCTTGAAACAAGTCTCTCATTTTGGCTATAGTTTAAATCTTTTTGTCTATTAATAAAGAAAATATTTTATTCGTTTACTGGCCACTAGCTGTTTTTTTAAATTTAATTTTAGTTTTTCTAAATAACACATATACACAACTTAAAACGTCAAGTGATTCTACAGTATCTATCATAGAAACTATCATTTTCCTGCCTCATCTGTCTCTACCCTTTAGCATGGTTTTCCAGAGACAATAGGTTGACCTTTTAAAGTTTACTATTTTTAAGTTATTATTATCTTTTGTGTCACTAAATCCTTATTTAAATTGTAATTTTATATGGAACTTTCATGATTTTTTATTTTAGACATTGTTTAGTGACTTTCTAATTAGAAAGAGGAAGGTTTATTTCTATTATACCATTACCAAAACAAACACATACTTTCTTCACCCATATTTTCAATAGTTATATAGCAATTTCTAAGAAGTCAATACTTTTTACATTGTTTTCTACATGAAAATTGTTTATAGATAAGACATGTGGCAGTCTATATATTTTTCTTTTTAACCCAATTTTCCACCTGGAGTTAATTATTTTTATTTATTTTTTGGCTAGTTTTCTATGGATTTATCAAAAATTCTTCCCTCAAACACTCTGACATAGCAGAAAGTTTAATCAAACATATGAGGTAAACCATCTGTAATATATAAGTATATAACCTGGAGAAATTCTTCCCAAAATTTCCTCCACCTTCTTTTTCTGGACCAATTGGACTCTGGGTCTACCGCACAAGTATTATCCTGGAAATCTCATTTGTCCCTCTCCTGGGTTGGATTCCCACTTAACTAGATCCCATAGCTTTCTCCTTCTTGATTTACTCTCTTATTATTGTGGACATATTAATATCTCCAGTAGCTTCTTGAAAAAGGAAGTATAGGTAGTATATTTTTTGAGATCTTACAGGTTGGAAATCATTTTCTCTGAATCATAAAGGTGCTGCTCTGCTCTTTCTAGCCTAAAATATTGCTATGCTGAAGTTCAATTCTATTCTTGTTCCTGATCTTCGTAATTCCCAGTGTTCTGAAATTCATGTTTTGTTTTGTTTCCATTCTGTGAGCTCAGCATTCATTTGGCTCTTTCAATAGGTATACCCATGTCCATGTCCTTCTATATACACACAAATTCCTCGAAATTTTCATCATTATTTTTTCCTCTATAATTTCTTCCCTTGCGTTTCTGTTCTCTCATTCTAGTACTCCTATTGACAAAAAGTTGAACATATTAGTTTGTGTTCTGTTTTACATCTTGAAAAACTTCCTGAACTTTGTCTCCAACCTTGATTTGTGATTGTTTTTCTTCTGGGGAGATTTTCTTAAATTTATCTTTATTTTTCTATTTATTTTTAAAAGTGTTGTGTTATTTCTAATGTGCAAGGCTCCTTCTGGCTTTCTAATTTTCAAAATAGCATCCTGTTCTTTTATTATTTAAGGAAATCATTTATAGTTTTTAATTTGTTTTTTATGTTGCTCCCTTCATTGTCTTTTTTTCCTTCAAATCTTCTTTTAATCTGTTTGTTTTGATCTCTATAATTTAGAGAACTCTCTTAAAAATATGGTAATCATAGTCTATTTTTTATACCCAAGGGTGAAGCAAGGCAGGGAGTGGTGACTCATGCCTGTAATTCCAGAGCTTTGGGAGGCTGAGGAAGAAGAGTCTCTTCAGGCCAGAGGTTCAAGACCAGCCTGGGCAACATAGCAAGACTTCCTCTCTACAAGAAACAAAAAAGTAGCTAGGCATGATGGCACACACCTGTAGTCCTAGCTGCTCAGGAGACTGGAGGAGGAGGATCATTGAACTCAGGAGTTTGAAGCAGCAGTGAGCTATCATCACTCCACTGCACCCCAGCCTGGGTGACAGGGTGAGACCCTGTCTTTAAAAAAAATTAATAATTTTAATAATAAATAAGTAAATAAATGAGTGAAGCAGTAAAAAGCTATATTTCTATAGGCCAGTTTGATGACTAGTGAGTTTCACTGTAAGGTTACTGGGAGTTGTTGGATGACTCTCTAATGTCCATGTCTATAGGTTTTTATTCTTGGGAGATTATGTTTCCCCAAAAAGGAACTCTAATTATCTTGCCTGGAAGGTAAAAGCCTTGATACCAGGATTCTGGAAGCAGAGCTTGGGAAGCAGCCTGTTGCTGTTCTCACCACTGAGTATGTGTTCACCTGATCTTTCTGATTTCAACTTCTTCCTTTACTAACTCCATTGTGTCTACATCACTGAGGACTCAGCATCTCCTGTTAAATGTCTCCTGGCTGGGTAGAACAGGGGTAGTCACTTGGCTGGTTGGGGTGAGAAAATGAATCTGAGGGATCTAACTCATCTTTTTAAAACCACTCCTGGTATTTTTCAGTCCCATCTTTAACTCCACATTTACAGGTACATGATATCTCTAATTCCTAAGCCTTCTTGGGGATTGGTGACAATAATAGATTTCTTCTTTTCTCCCCTGAGAGTAGTTAGGTTTCTGTTTTCTCACGTTACTAAAGTAATTCCCACTTGTCCATTTGCTTTCTGTTTTAAAGAACTGTTTATATTGTCAAATGCTATGGTCTTGCTTATTGTCTCTGGGAGGTTTAACTTTTTTTATTCACTTACAGATCTGAAAAAGCAGTTTCTAGTGGCTCAAAAAGAGATACTCATGATTATAAAGAAATCGTCTTAGGCACTGTGTCCTCTCCAGCCACTGAGATAATGGTGCTACACAGGCCATCCAGGACTCATAGGCATTGTATCAATCCAGCCTCTCCTCTTGCCCAAGTGATACTGGGCAAGTCACTAACCTCTATGAGCTTCAGTTTTCTTATCAATAAAATGGAATAATTCCTATCTCATAGAACATTGTGAGTATTAAGTCAAACAATGCACTTATAGAACATTTAACACATTGCATATAGCTCAATAAATGCTGTAGCAGTTATAATTACTCATATTATTGTTGTTGTCATTATCATGATCAACTGCACAATAGCAAGAATCTTATTTAATTTAAACTTACGTCTCTTTGCAGAACAACTTGCTCTAACTGTAGAAATGAGGAAAGAGTAAGAATCAAAAGCAAACTGTCCAGAATATATTATTGTTTATCTTAAAAAGCATTCGAATCTGCAAGGACCATTTAATGGAAGTCAATGCAACCACCTCTTCAGTCATGTATAAGATCAGCAATTTATGAACTGTTTTATAAAAAACCAGATAGTAAATAGTTTTAAGATTTGTGAGACATATGTCTCTGTCCCAACTACTCAACTATGCCATTGAAGTGTGAGAACAGCAAAGGACAATTCATTTTTTTAAAATCTACATGGCTGTTTTCCAAATAAAGCTTTATTAACAAAAGCAGATGTTTGTCATATTTGGTTTGAGAGGTGTAGTTTGAAGACCCTACATGCGAAAAATGCCCTATTGTTGAAAATTAACTGGGTTAGTTACCCTACATCTGTAACAACCACAAATTCTCAGTGACTTAACAGAATCAATTTGTATTTCTTACTCACAGTTGGTAGGCAGCCTTCTACTTGTTGTTTGGGGCAGCTGTCTTCTTTCATCTTGTGTCAGTTCCATCTTCTGGGGCTCCTTGGGGTCCAACCACTACTTGAACGAAAAGTGAGAATAAGGACCATGTGAGACTTTTCATGACCTGGCCACACTTAAACTCACATTTTATTGGCCAAAACCTAACTACAGGAGAAGCTGGGAAATACAATAACTTCCTGCAAAAGTCCCCAGTGAAGAAATGAGGATTGATGGACATCTATACAATGTCTATCAAAACATTGACTGACAAGTAAAAAAATGACCCATTCAGCCAACTTTGGCAGCCATATTTTCCCTCCAAAAGCTATGAATGCTTCTTCAGGCAGACCTACACAATTTGTTGGCTCTAATACAAAATGAAAGTGTGAGGCCCCTTGGACAAAAATCAGGTAAAATGGTTTTGCCTTCTTTTTATAAACTTCCTTGACTTGTCATGGTATTTTCTTAATTTGCTATTCAGCCTCACATTGTCTTGGTCATGGGGACACTCACAAGACAAGTACATACATTCACAGTCATCAGGGGGTCCCACCCATAATTCAGCACATGAGACACATGGGGCATGTTCTGGACCCTGACTCTCCTTGAATCTGCGCAGAAGCTCCCCCAACTCCATCCCCAGGGTAGAGGGTCACTGGCCAAGCCCCCATCTGGGGAACCTATTTGTGAGCCAAGGTCCCAAGCTTCAGCACACACACCGCTGTTATCAGTCTTCACTTACTACGCACTAATTCCAAAATACAATTCTTAAGAATTTTGAGATGGTGATCACAGAACATTAAGCCCCAAGACTGGGGACCCCCTCTGAGTATGGGACTTGTGTGACTGCACTGGTCACACACTCTCCATGAAGCTGGCCCTGCCATCCCTGAAAGCTTGATCACTTGCTGGAGGGAAAAGGCCTAGAAGTCCCCACTTTAAGATGCTTCCTAAAGGGTCAAACTCTTGGTCAGAAGCCCAGAGCCCTTCTGCCTGCTCTTGTCCAGCATTTTTCACCTTTTTCACCAAAAAAGACATGGCCCTAAACTGCTGTAAAAATTAAGCAAGGATTGAATTGGTCTCCAACAAGACAACCCTTAGCTCTGGATCGTCTATATTATTGCATATTAAGGAAATACTACTGGGCTCGATCCTCCAACATTGAATTATTCTACTATTTTTCACACCCAACATTTATTCCTTTTTTAAAAGTTGTATAGGTGAATTTGAAAAAGTTAACCACCCATTCATGATTAATTCAGTGCTACTAATACTGTGAAAGGCAATGCAAAGTGTTCTGATTAATTGATTTTCAATCCCAGTCCCTAAACATATTAGCTTTATGGCCTTGGGCAAGATACCACCTTTCCACGAGCCTCCATTTCATCATCTGTAAAATGGGTGTGATAATATCCAACTCAAAGTACTGAAGTGAGAATGACAAAGAGATAAGGTGTGTATAGAGCATGGCACATAGCAAGCATTTAAAACATGGAAGCCACTATTAGTATACACTGGTGATAATACCAGTCATTATTATTGGGAGGTGAGGGAAAAATCTTCAGACATAATCTCTGACCTCTGCAAGATTATGAGTTGAAATGGAGAACAAGTCCTAAACAAAAATTGCAAAAACAGGCAGGAAGAACTTAGAGCCCCACTAGCAGGACAGATTAGGTGGGTTATAGGAGTAATAATGGTGCTGCTGTAGCATTTGGGGCAGAGACACTTCTCAGAGAGTATTTCCAGGCTATGCGTGAGTTTGCTGGCTTTAGAGGTGGACTCTTGTACATATTTTTGGGGGAAAGGACTACATAATTTAAGTGTGCAGCCTTGATGGCCATACATTTGGTGGCTTAGGAACTTACAATGGTGCGATTATCTATGAAATGTGGATGCAAGAAATAATGTGGTGCATGTACCCACAGTAAATAATAAAAACCAGGAAATGTGAATGGTTTCTGGATATTGCCTTTAGTGCTCAATTCAGCCAGCATTAGTTACATGCTATAGACTCAATGGGGGAAGAAGAAGCATCCTCATAAAATAAACATTTGTCTGCAGATTTTCCAGTTGAAGCCGAGGCTGGCTCTTAGTACTGCTATCACCACTGCATATGATGATTGGACATTAGTGAATCACACAGCCTGGGTCAGCCTAAAATTGTCCTATAATGAAATTGAGATATAATGGGAAGTTGTGCTATTTTTGTATTTCCAAAGAAGGAGGGCTCTCACGAAGTTATGCTCCCGTGTTAAAAAAGTGACCCTCAAAACAAGAAAATGATACAGGACAATCTAAGCTCTGAGATTAAAAGAGACAGCAAGACAATCTCGTTACAGCTCTACAAAAGGATGTTCTTGCAATAGAAATACCTGTGTGGTTACCAGAAATAAGATTAAATCAATCAGCTTTCCCTGAACTTTAGTGATCTTATACATAATTTTAAAGCTAGGAGCCCTACTTACACCATCAGGCTGATTTTATTTTTTACTTCAGAAATATCTAACTATTCTCAGAGGATCCATGTATAAAAATACAGTAGTCTGCTTAGTTCTATAATGTTCTAGCTGAGTACTAGAATTTTATTTAAATTTAGAAGATTGAAAAGAACTTGCAAATCTCTTAGTGAATCACAGGGCCTGCTATATGTTTGAGTATACTGTTACATAATATATTTACATTTGACCATGCAGTGTATATGTTTGCCCTATATTGTCTCTAGAAACGTATCTAAACCTGACTGGTTGCTCTGCAAGAGAAGAGGCCATTTGCATATTTAAAATGTGTATGCCAAGTTATATTTGTAGATTTCAGGAATTTATTACTATGGCTATATTGATATGTTATGGTTGCCATACTAAATTATCATAAACTTATTGGCTTAAAGCAACACATTTTTATTATCTTATAGTTCTGGAGGCCAGAACTCTAAAAATAGGTCTACTTGAAGACTCTTCTGAGGATTCTCAAGGAAAATCTCTTCCATCGCCTCTTCCAGCTTCTAGAGGCCATCTGCATTCTTTGGCTCATGGCTTCATCTTCAAAGCCAGAATGCAGCATCTTCTCTCTTTTCCATCTCCATTTCCCTCTTATAATAATCACTGTGATTACATGGGACTTTCCCAGACTATTCAAGATAATATCCCCGCCATAGGATCCATAGCTCAACTGCATCTACAAAGTCTCTTTTCTACATAAGTCAGCATACTCACAGGCTCCAGAAATTAGAACAGGGATATTCTTATGGGAGGAGGGAATTATTCAGCCACCATAATGGCTCTCATCGCAACAATTATTTTCTGCACCTTATGTGCAAGTGCCTATGTTGACTTTATATATCAGCATATAAACAAATTTGAGTCTCATCCATGGTTTAAATAAATAAATAAAAGCCCTATTGGTGTTGACTCTCCCTCTAAGTACTGTTCTTTATTGCTCTGCCCATTCAGTGTCCAGTGACTAGACACAAGAACCATATTGACTGTCTCCAAGACATCTTTCTTTTTTCCAATCTTAAAATCTTAACCTGCTGCTGCCTGATATCTGCCCCCACCATCACTCCATCATAGTTTGGCAAAAGTCAGGCATGACATCCCCATTGTCAAAATCCTATCTTTCTTTAACTTATTGGTAGCATTCCTTACCATTGATTAGCCTTTTATTCTTGAAACTCCCTCTTTCCTTGGATTTTGTGGTGAACATTTGCCATTATGTCACCCAGAACTGTATTCTCCCTTTTTCTAGTAAGAGTACCTGGCTTTGCTTTAGGGAGCTACACCTTCCTCACTTTCAGCCATGCTGAATTTACCACCCAGGGGCTAGACTGGGCACATGACTCAGGCCTCACCAATTAGAGTATCCCCTGTCCTTGGCCACAGTGATTGGTTCAGGGATGAGCAAATGACCCAACCAAAGCCAGTGAATGGCAATCCCAGGATTTTCATTGGGACAACTAAGACACACTCTTTTTCAGCAGAATTATAGAAGCTGGCAACTGTTTAACACTGACTAGAGTCTACCAATGAAGCCAACGTGGAGGAAAGTCGAAATGAGAGGAAAAAGACTGTTGCAATCATTTTATCTCTATATTTAGCCTTGCCTCAATTCTATCTCTGGGTTTTTTGATTATGCAAGCCAACGTATTCCTTCCATTTGCTTAAACCTGACTTGAGCATCCTTATGATCACTTTCAAGAGAGAGTTCCACCTGACATTGTTTCCATCATGTTCCTCTTGCCTTTCCAGCCTTTCCTCCTCAGGACTTTTTTGTCCTTTCATTTTTCTGCTCTGCTTTAAGCATTAGGATCTCCCTTTTTCTTTCTTGTCCCTCACACCATCTCATCTACATTTTCTATCTAACCCCTGTGCACATTGTCAATTATCATGAAGCTCACATGTAGGTCTACAACCTATACCCACTCTTGAACTCCATTTCCATTTAATCAACTATGTTCTAACAATGCCTCTTAGATATCCCACAGGTAATTTACATTTAATGTGTCCAAAGGCAAACACATTCTCTTTCTCCCAGCACTACTCTGAACCAATCAACTCCTTCTTCTGAGTTCCTTATCTTGGTAACCACCTGTTACAGTCTGAATTGTGTTCCACCAAAAGTTATGTTGCCCTCCAACACCTCAGAACGTGACCTTATTTGGAAAGAGGGTCATTGCAGATATAATTAGTTAAGATAAGGTTATACTAGAATAGAATGGACCCTTTAATCCAATAAGACTAGTCTCCTTATAAGAAGAGGAGAAAGACCCAGAGAGGAGACGGCCATGTGAAGAGAGAGACACATTTGGAAAGTGCCTTGTGACAACAGAGGCAGGAACTTGAGTAATCCAGATGCAAGCCCAAGAATTCCAAAGATCAACACCTACCATGAGAAACTAGGAAGAGGCAAGGAAGGATTCTCCTCTATAGATTTTGGAGGGATCATTCGCCTCCTGATGCTCTGATTTTAGATATGTAGCCTCCAGAAATGTGAGAAAACAAATTTGTGTTGTTTGAAGTCACCCAGTGTGGCACTTTGTTCAGGCAACCAAAGAAACTAAAATACCACCCAAATTTCCAAAGTAAGAAAGCTGGAAATCAAACAAGCTATCTTTTCCTCTCTTATGCTTTCCAGGCTATATTTAATCATTAATTCTTTTTTTATTTTGTTTTCAGAATATCACTCATAAGTCTTTATTTCAGTCATAGATGGACTATCAAAGTTATCTCCTGACTCACAGGTCTCCTAATCTTATTGACCCCTTCCAACCCAACCTCCTCATCACTGTCAGAGTAACCTTTTCAAGCACACAAATCTGATCTCCTCTGCTCAGAATCCAGCAGTGCCTGCTTATTGCCCTGAGGATAAAATACAAAATTCTCAATATAAATATTTTTATATATTAAAAATATATAATTACTTATACATTATTATATTTATATAAATATTTTTATATATTTATATATTGAAAATATTATATATGAAAAGTGGCAGGAGGTAAGGCTTGAGCTGGTGCAGGTAAGATCACGAGGAGCTTATATCAAGCTCCCAAACATGACATCTTGTAGATGCACAATACTCCTTGCTGTCTAAGGCTCTATGTTTTATGCTCGTTGTTCTCTGTGTATAAATGGTCCCTCCTGCTTATATGTCAAACTCTTATGCCACCTTCACATCTCACCATAGAGACTATCTCCTTGGAGGTGCCTTTCCCAATCCCCCCCAGAATCCTCAAGCCTTCTTCCTTTGCTCTCACCACCTTTAGTATATTTTCCATCATAGCAATTGCAGTACTCTCCTGAAGATGTTGGTTTGCATGTCTGGGTTCTCTGAGGAATGTGAGCTGTCTAAGGAGAGAAGCTCTGTCTTTAACTTTGTATGCCTTACATCTATCACAATGACAGGGCAGAGTGGGAATTCAGTAAATATCTGTGGCTGGTAGGCGAATTTATTAAATTAAGTAAACCAGAACTGTAAGAAATAGTTGGAAGCAATTCAATATATTAGGATTTGGCTTTAATTGGTTTGAAGAAAACAGAAGGGAGTCCTCATTTATTATGTTAATGTTGGCCATTCCCATTCATTCATTTACTTATTCCTTCATTTATCAGACATGTATTGCGGATGTAGAATGTATCAGACCCTTGCCTGGCCTGAAAACTGAAGACAAAGAAGACACAACACTGACTGTAAGGAGCTCACAATCGCAAAGGCAAACAAATAATTGTTATTCACTGTTATAAGTACCTGGACAATAGCCAGTAGGATACTTTGGAGACAATAGTTACAGGGCAGGGCTTTGGTGAAGTGAAGTAGTGGAGAAAAAGTAGAGAAGAATAATTTAATCCTCATCACCACCTTCTTGCAGAAATTATCTCCAGTTTGCATATAGAAAAAACCTACCCAAAGTAATTAAATAGGAATTCCAATCATTGCTCTCTCTCAAAGAGAATGTAAAATATTCTAATTGTAATCTAGAATCCTAGATGTTAAAATACCTCCTTTTTTATTTTCTCTCCTCTCTTACATCTTTCATACACCATAACAGCTTGAAGTCTCCCTCTCTCCAGACTCCTCTCTCCAGACTCCTCACTCCCGACCTCTCTCCTCCAACTGCTTCCCATCTCCTGGCTTCCACCCTCTTGTGATGATTTCTTCCCTACTTCTTCCTTAAGCCCTTTCATCTCCAGGCAAAGGAAGATAACTGGCCCTCTGCTATCCTGCCATGTAGTCAGTGATTCTCTAGGAAAGACAGAAACAGGAGGTTGTCTACACCATCAGTTTCCCACACTGTTCCCCAACTCCTTTACACAGTGCCAGGGAATTTCTAAAATGTGAATTTGTTTTCTAGTTCTAACTATTCTGCTGAAAAGAAAACTCATTCTTTTATTAAATTGGACAAAAATTTTCTGAGTATGTTTGGAAAAATGTGTGTACATTAATCTACTTTTCAACTGTTAGTTTCATGAAATCTAAACACAAATCAAGTATTTCACATGAACAGTGCTTAGTAGAAGCTCTCAGAAAATAACTGTTCCAATAAGAACACATGGACACAGGGAGAGGAACAACACACACCAAGGCCAGTCGGGATGTGGGGGGTGGGGAGCAAGGGGAGGGAGAGCATTAGGACAAATAGCTAATGCATGGAAGGCTTAAAACCTAGATGATGTGTTGATAGGTACAGCAAACCACCATGGCACAAGTATACCTATTTAACAAACCTACACATTCTGCACATGTATCCATGACTTAAAGTAAAATTTAAAAAAATAAAAAAGGAAAGGAGAAAGGAAACCTCCGCTCAGGCAGTAGGGAGGGTTGGTATATGCACTGTCTTAACTGAGATATTTTATTTTGACATACACAATACAAGGCTACCATCGTAGTGTGTTCTGCCACACTTTTTCAGCCTTTTCTGTTTTTTCTTCTAGTCAAAGAGATGTTTCACTTCACAAACTGAGTATTAGAATGTGTGAAATAAAGTTATTTGAGAGTCCTTCAAAAAAATAACTGTTCTGTAGAGTTTACATTTTAATTGAGGAATAGATAAAAAAAAACAAGAAACATAATAAATATGTAAATTATATACCACACTAGAAAGTAGAGTGTACTATAGAAAAAATTTGAAAGGAACATTTTTGAAAAATAAATGTAAAATGTAAGAAAAGAGTTTCAGAGAGATCACCCAATTAGAAACTGATAGAATATAATCTCTTTTCACTACACTCTGCTGCCCTAATTAAAACAGATTATAAAGTCATTATGTATTAAGGTAATATATGAGGGCTTTTAAATAGCAATCAGATTTCTAGACTACATATTCAGAATAACTTGGGAGTATATATTCGTAGGAAATTTTCCATAAACACAAATTTCAAATTTGTTGTGGTAGTAATCTTGGCTTTTGATCTACCTTTAAATGTATACATTACCACATTTAATTGTAGAAAGCACAGATTTTCTCTATTGGGAAAAGCATGGGACAAATAAGAGACACAGAAGACCTGAATTCTAGTTCCAGCTCTGCCATTAGGTATATGTTTGGTCTTGGGCAAATCATTGTACCCTGTCTGTATCTCAGATAGGCACTGAGCCAAGACTGACTTTAGCATTTAAGAAAAAGGTCTACCTAAAATGATAGAAGTCTGTGAAAGCTTATATAAACTTACATATTCAATGCAGAAACAAATTATTTACATATTTAACTACCTGTTTTCTCAAGTTATCATAAAAATGCCAAAGGGGAGAATTCTAATTCGATCTCTGATGTTGCTTATATGAAGTGGACTATATTCTGTGTACTCGTCTATGCATAGAGCTGGTATATGTCTTTCTCTTTTAATTTTAGGGGAACAATGGGTGGGACTACCATTCTTTCCTTTTGTCCATGAAACCTCATTATGTGAATAAAAGTTTATTAGCATTAGGCCTTTTGGAGGTCAGACAAAAACATTGACTATTATTACTCCAAACTACATTTCTCTTTTATGTCAAGTATTTACATTTCTGCCCCATAATTAAACCTATCTTGTATTTGTGCAGGATTAGTATGACCTCTTTAGGCTCCAAGTTGCAGATCTTTTCATTTATCCCAGCCAGACACTTTCTAAGTATCTTTCTCTTTGGATTCCACCCACCAGTTAGTATAAGAAGGGATAAAGACTGATTAGGATTTCAAGTAACATCTCACCACTGTCCCAGAGAACAACTTCTGCTGCCTTCCCTGAATTAGCTGTTTTTCCATATGTCTCCAAAGCTCTCTCAATTTTTTTTCTTTTTTCTTTTTTTTTTTTTTTTGGAGACGGAGTCTCACTCTTTCGCCCAAGCTGGACTGCAGTGGCGCTATCCCGGCTCACTGCAAGCTCCGCCTCTTGGGTTCATGCCATTCTCCTGCCTCAGCCTCCCGAGTAGCTGGGATTACAGGCGCCCACCACCACGCCCGGCTAATTTTTTGTATTTTTAGTAGAGACGGGGTTTCACCGTGTTAGCCAGGATGGTCTCGATCTCCTGACCTCGTGATCCGCCCGCCTCGGCCTCCCAAAGTGCTGGGATTACAGGCGTGAGCCACCGCGCCCGGCCTCTCAATTTTTTTTCTATCTAAAAATAAGATTTAAAAAACTTGTAGTTTATTCCCAATTTTTATTTTGTGTTTCAGGACTATGGCCATTCCTGTATTTCTTACCAACCAAATATTTGGTAAACAGTCCAACAAATGAACTTCAGCTTTCTATACAGCAGTCCACTTGGCTGAATGACAGACTGCATCTGGTTCTGAATCTCTTGAATTTTGGTTAGGCCTCATCCAGCCTAAAGCTTTCTTCTTGTTAGCACTAATCCAGTGAGATCAGGGACTACTTCCAACATTAGCTCTAGTCTCAAGATTCTCATAAAAATAGGCATTTTTATTCCATGTTCCACCTTTAATAGTTACAGCGACATCTACAGCTCTCAACCTGAACTAAGAAAGCTAATCCAGAGGTTCCTTGGAATCAGAGGGAGCAGAAAGTTCCTATTGTACTCCTTTTCCTGGCTAATTACACATGGAGGTACAGATCTACCCCATCTAATAGGGTTGCCACTAGTGACACATAGTTATCATGCACTTGAAATATGGTTACTGTAACTGGGGAGCTAGAATTTTCACTTTTATTAGGAAAAAAAGTTAAATTTAAGAACTGACACTCAATTTGGTTATTGAAAAACTTTAAAGGAACAACTTGTGTATGTGACTTTTCATGGTCAACTGTTAATTTTATGAAATCTAAACACAGATCAAGTACTCCAGATGGAAATTTAGTGTCTAAATTGAGATGTGCTGTAAGTGTAGAATACGTCCCAGATTTCAAAAATTTAGCAACAAAAATATAAAATATTTCATCAATGATTTTAAATTTATTTAATATTGAAATATTATTTTGTGCTGGGCGCAGTGGCTCACTCCTGTAATGCCAGCACTTTGGGAGACCGAGGCAGGCGGATCACGAGGTCAGGAGATGGAGAGCGGCCTGGCTAACAGGGTGAAACCCGGTCTCTACTAAAAATACAAAAAGTTAGCCAGGCGTGGTGGTGGGCACCTGTAGTCCCAGCTACCCGGGAGGCTGAGGCAGGAGAATGGCGTGAACCCGGGAGGCGGAGCTTGCAGTGAGCCAAGATCACGCCACTGCACTCCAGCCTGGGCGACAGAGCAAGACTCCGTCTCAAAAAAAAAAAAAAAAAAAAAAAAAGAAAAGAAATATTATTTTGTATAAATTAAAATATACTACTCAAATTAATTGTACTTGCTTATTTTTGCTTTTTACATGTGGCCACTAAAAATTTTAAATTATATATGTGGCTCAAATTATATTTCTGTCAGACAGCATTGCTCTCGATCAAGCTTGAGAATGTGGAAAATAAAATAAATTCTTCTCTAGTCCATCACGTTCATATTAATGCTGGGGAATCTGACTTCTGTTAAGCACCTTCCATACTCCAGGAAGTATTCTAGGTTTTTTACTTCTGTCAATTTGTTTAGTAGTCATAAGAACTTTGTGATGGAACTATAACTGAGACTTACAAAAATTAGGCATCTGGCTCTCAAAATTACACAGCTAAGAAATGGCCTGCCTAGGTTTAAGCACAGTTCTATCTTGAACAAATGGTAATAATAATATTTTTAAAAAACAGATCTATGGTAGGAGAGATGTCAGCAAGATGGCAGAATAGACTATCTCTCAGCATCACTTCCTCCACAAATATACAACTAGAAACTATTCAAAGACAAGATTTCACTCTGAATTCACTAGAGCTCAGAGGGAAAACGGAGAAACTCACTGGACCCACAGAATCAAGAGAAGCCATGATTCATAAAAGAAAGAGTCATTTCAGACTGCACGGCCCCCACCCTAAGCTGGCATAATGCCACTCACAGAGAACTTCCCTAGATCCACAGTTTCTGAGATGAGAGGAGAAAATTGGAGGTAGATGCTTGATTTCCACATTGGTCTAAGAACCTTCATGAGAAGCCCACTCCTGTACCATTCTGTGGAAACTGGGAATGCCAAGAGGGCTGAGCCACAAGAGGTGAGTTGAAAACAAAGAGCAGGGCACTAATCATATTGTCTGGCATGCAGATCTTGGCCACTACTCTGCACTTTGATCAGCAGGGATGCCATGTTGAAGAGGCTGGCTGGTGCCACAGTGCTGCAGGGGGCACAATCCGTGCGAAGACCCCAAATCCTTGGTCCAGTTTTTCACAAAGCCCAGTATTTCTGTGAAGCCTTCTCATGATAGAGAAGAATAACAAAGAGTAAAGAAGGCCTATTAGAACTATGGAACAGCATAAAGCAAACTAACCTCTGCATAATAGGAATTCCTGAAAAAATATGAGACAGAAAAAGACTTTGAAAGCATATTTAAGAAAATAACAGCTGAAGTTTTCCCGAATCTGGAAGAAGGCAATACCATCCAGGTACAGGAAGCTCAAGAGATTACCAATCAAATTCAACCCAAAGAGAAAATCCTCAAGGCACATCACAGTCAAATTAGCAAAAATCAAAGACAAACAACAAATGCTCAAAGCAGCAAGAGAAAATAAACATATCACATTCAACAGATTCCCAATACGGCTTCCAGCAGATTTCTCAACAGAAACCCTGCAGGCCAGGACAGAGTGCAATTCAACCTCTCCCTTTAGGTCTATTAATAGTTGCTAATATTTAATATTTGCTAATCTTTAATATTAATATTTGCCAAATATATCTGTAGTAGGGGACGTCAACACCCTACATTCAGCAATGAACATATTATCAAGAAAGAAAATCAACAAAGAAGCACTGGCGTTAAAATGCACTCAAGATAAAAATAAACATAACAGACACAGAACATTCCATCCAACAGCTACGGAACAATCTTTTTTTTTTCCAAGAGCCATAGCACATTATCCAGCATAGATCATGTTAGTTCACAAAGCAAGTATGAACAAATTTTTTAAAAATCAAAATTATATCAAGTATTTTTTCTGACCACAATGGAATAAAGCTAAAATCAATAACAGAAGGAACATTGGAAACTGTACAAATTAATAGAAATTCAACAACATACTCCTGAACAATAAAGGGTTCAATAAAAAACTTAAAAGGAAATTTAAAAATTCCTTGAAACAAATGAAAATGGAAACATAATATACTAAAAGCTATCAAATAGAGCAAATGCATTACTGAGAGAAGTTCATAGGAATAAATGCCTACATCAAAAAAGCAGAAAGATTTCAAATAAACAACCTAACAATGCATCTTAAGTAACTAGTAAAGCAAGAACAATAAAAACCTAAAATAAGTAGAAGAAAAGAAATAATAAAAATCAGAGCAAAATTAAATTAAATTGCAACTAAAAGTAGAGACAACAAAATGAAAGCTGTTTTTTAAAGATAAGCAAAATTGGCAAACCTGTAGCTACACTAACTATAAAAAGAAAGAAGATACAAATAAATAAAATTTTAAAACCCACATTACAACTGATACCACAGAAATACAAAGGATAAATAGAGACTATTAAGAACAACTATACATCAGCACACTTGAAAACCTAGAAGAAATGGGTAAATTCCTGGACACATACAACCTGCCAATATGGAATCAGGAAGAAATAGCAAACCTGAATAGAGCAGTAATATGTAACAAGATTGAAGAGCCTCACTGCCGGGTGCAGTGGCTCACGCCTGTGATCCCAGCACTTTGGGAGGCCAAGGCAGGCAGATCACAAGGTTAGCAGTTTGAGACCAGCCTGGCCAATATGGTGAAACCCCATCTCTACTAAAAATACAAAAATTAGCCAGGCGTGGTGGTGGGCACCTATAGTCTCAGCTACTCGAGAGGCTGAGACAGGAGAATCGCTTGAACCTAGGAGGTGGAGGTTGCAGTGAGCCGAGATCGCACCACTGCATTCCAGCCTGGGCAACAGAGACTGCGTCTCAAAAAAAAGACTCTCATAAAAGAAAAGCCCAGGACCTGACAGCTTCACTGCTGAATTCTGCCAAACATTTGAAGAAGAACAAATAACAATTCTACTCAAACTCTTCAAAAATATTGAAGAAGAGGGGTATTTTCAAACTCATTCAACAAGGCCAGTATTATCCTGATACCAAAACAAGAAAAGGACACAAAAAAAGGAAAACTATAGACCAATATCCCTAATGAACTACAGATCAATATCCCTTGATGATAGATACAAAAAATCCTCAACAAAATGCTAGCAAACTGAATTCAACAACACAATAAAAAGATCATTCATCATGATCAAGTGAAATTCATCACAGGGATGCAAGGATAGTTCAACATATCCAAATCAATCAATGTGATACATCACATGAACAGAATCAAGAATTAAAAACTATATGATCATTCCAATTGATGTTGAAAAAGCATTCAATACAATTCAACATCATTTCAGGACAAAAATTCTTAACAAACTGGGTATAGAAGGAACATACCTCAAAACATTAAAGGCCGTATATGACAAGCCCACAGCTAACATTACACTGAATGGGGAAAACTTGAGAGCCTTTCTTCTGAGATCTGGGACAGGACAAGGGTGCTCACTTTCACCACTTGTATCCAATATAGTAATAGAAATCCTAGCCAGCTCAATTAGGCAAGAGAAAGAAGTAAAGCGCATCCCAACTGGAAAGGAAAAAGTCAAATTACCCTTGTTCAGAGGTAACATGATTCTATATTTAGAAAAACCTAAAAATTCCACTAAAAAACTGTTAGAACTCATACACAACTTCAGTAAAGTTACAGGACACAAAATCAACATATAAAAATCAGTAGGATTTATATATGACAACAATAAACAATCTGAAAAAGAAACCAATAAAGCAATTGCATTTATAATAGCTACAAAAAATAAAATATCTATGAATAAGTAACCAAAAAAGAGAGATCTCTATAATGAAAACTATAAAACACTTATGAGAGAAATTGAAGAGAACACACAAATAGAAAGAAATCCCATGCTCATTGATTAGAAGAGTTAATATTGTTAAAATGCCTATTCTGTCGAAAGCAATCTACAGATTTAATGCAATTCCTACTGAAATTCCAATGACATTCTTCTCAGAAATAGAACAAATAGTACTAGAATTCATATGGAACCACAAGAGACGCTGAATAGTCAAAGAAATCCTAAACAATAAGAACAAAGCTGGAGGCATCGAACTATCTGACTTTAAAATATACACAAAGCTATATAAACCAAAGAAGCATGGTACTGGCATAAAAACAGACACATAAACCAATGGAACAGGATAGAGAACCCAGAAATAAATCCACAGTTACAGTCAATTCATTTCTGATAAAGGTGCAAAGGATATACATTGGGAAAAGGACAGTCTCTTCAATAAATGGTGCCAGGAAATTGGATATCCATATTCAGAAGAATGAAACTAAAACCCTATTTCTCACCATATATAAAAATCAACTCAAATGGATTAAGACTTAAATGCAGACCTGCAACTATGAAACTACTAGAAGAAAACATTGAGGAAATACTTCAGGACATTGATATGTGAAAATAGATTTTTGCAGTAAGACCTCAAAAGCACAGGAAACAAAAGCAAAACTAGACAAATGGGATTATAACAAGCTAAAAAGAAACAATCTTTTGCACAGCAAAAGAAACAATCAACAGAGTGAAGAAACAACTTATAGGGTGGAAGAAAATATTTGCAAACTATCTATCTGATAGGGGATTGATAACTGAGATACATAAGGAACTCAAACAACTCAACAGCAAAATAATAATAATAATCTCATTAAAAAGTGGGCAAAGTCTCCAAGTAGACATTTCTCAAAAGACCAACAAATGGTCAACAGGTATATGAAAAATTACTCAACATTGCTAATCATCAGGAAATGCAAATTAAAACCTCAATGATATATCATGTCAGTTAAAATGGCTATTATAAAAAACACAAAAAATAACAAATGCCAGCAAGAATATGGAAAAAGGAGAATGTTGGTACACTGGTGCTAGTAATGTAAATTAGTACAGCCAATATGGAAAACAATATGGCAGTTTCTCAAAAACTAAAAATATATCTACCATCTGATACAGCAATCCCACTGCTGGGTATTTATCCAAAAGAAAGGAAGTCAGTATATGAAAGAGATATCAGAACTCTATTGCAGCACTATTCACAATAGCCAAGACATGAATCAACTTAAGGATCTATCAATAGATGATAAAGAAAATGTGGTATATATATATATATGTATATATAATGGAATATAATAATATAATAATATTCCATTATATATATATGTGTGTGTGTGTGTATATATATATATATATTCAGTCATAAAAAAGAATGGAATGTTATCATTTGCAGCAACGTGGATGAACTAGAGGATATTATGTTAGGTGAACTAAGCCAGATATAGAAAGGCAAATATTGTGTGTTCTCACTCATATATGGGAGCTAAAAAAAAAAAGTCAGTCTCATGGACTTAGAGACTAGAATGACTGTTACCAGAGGCTGGAAATGGAGAAAAGGGGAGGATCAAGAAAGGCTGGCAAATGGGTACAAAAATATTATTACATAGAAGAAATAAGTTCTACTGTTTTATAGCATAGTATGGTGACTATTGTTACAATAATTTATTCACTGTTTCAAAATAGCTAAAACAGAAGATTTGGATTGTTCTCAACATAAAGAAATGATAAATGTTTGAGGTGATGTATATCCCAATTACCCTGATTTGATCATTACACATTATCTGCACGTGTCAAAAAATCACACGTACTTCATAACTACATAGAAGCTTACAATGTGCTTTTATAGAAGATTTTTTGTATCTTTTCTCATTTAATCATAAAAGTTAATTTTATGCTTGCAAATTTTACCTACCTCACAGAGGGGCTGTGAGTTTGAACCAAGTGGATGAATGTGAAGTGCTAAGCATAGTGTCTAGTGCATGTTAATTACTATTAGTTTTCAGATAAAGAAATTGCAATGCTTTTTGTCTGATTCCATAGGCAAACAATTTCCATTCCATCATGCTGACTCCAATTTCAGGGTACTTATGATATAAATTGGCATGAATACATATGCATGTTTTCCAATTCAGTGTCTGACTTTTTTGTTATTGCTGTTTTGTTTTACTTATTGTATTTATTACTCTGATTTTTCTTGACCTTCCTGGTTATTTCACATGTACAGCCAGTGCCCCCTCAAATACTAATCCCCAAGTTAATCTTCAGCCAAGATTATTTCCCTTTAATGTTGTATATGGGAGAATGTAGCCTATGCATTTTATCCCCATTGTCTTATCATCAAGAAAATGGAACCACCCATAAATTAATGCCTATAAATTTTTAGCTACACTTCAGTCCTCATAGGCAATGCAAAACAGAAACCTCTTGGTGACTCTTCTAATTCTATGTTTCAAATTGTGTCATACTCTGACTAAGGTAAGCAGGTATTAAAATAGAAATGAATGATAATAGTCCTTATTACAGGGACTCAAGAAACTACAGATGCCAAATACGTCCTGCTATTAGAAACAGAATTCCAGAAAGCCCCGGTAAAATTGTTAAGGAAGAAAAGCAGATACTTCGGTTGAGCTTCTCTCCTTCTGTCCTTATGGCCCCTTATAAATCACTGATGACTCCATTTGGAAAGAAGCCTAGTGGGCTACTGATACCTGAAGAGGGGATGGAAAATAGTCCGTACTTTTTAAAATACTTTTTACACTGTACAAAGCACATGCACATACATTGTCTTACCTTAGACAAACAGCTACACTGGGAGAAAGAGTGTAAACCCTCATCTCCACTATGGCAATCATATTCCTTTGCCAGCTGCTTTCACTAGAAGTAAACTCTTTAAGAGAAGGGACTTTTTTTCTCTGCTCACTTCTGTGACCTCAGCACTTAATCTAGTGTCTGGTCATCTAGTAGGTGCTCAATGAATACTGAATGAGTTTTGTAGATGATCTAGAAAACCAAGTGGCAGCCTAAGCACAGCCCGCAGTGAAATTGGCAAACCACAGGCAGAACTGAAAGAGGATGCTGTGCCTCTTCACCTCCTCCTGATGAACAATTGACATGCTTCTTTACCCATAGGGTATGTTCAGTTGTCTCCTCATCTCGGTGTCTGGCTTTTCAAATGGCTAAAAATGAGGTTCCAGAAAGCATCAATTCTTTTTTTTTTTTTTTTTGAGATGGAGTCTGGCTCTGTCACCCAGGCTGGAGTGCAGTGGCGTGATCTCGGCTCACTACAAGCTCCGCCTCCCGGGTTCACGCCATTCTCCTGCCTCAGCCTCCCGAGTAGCTGGGACTACAGGCGCCTGCCATCACACCCGGCTAACTTTTTGTATTTTTAGTAGAGACGAGGTTTCACCGTGTTAGCCAGGATGGTCTCGAACTCCTGACCCCGTGATCCGCCCGCCTCGGCCTCCCAAAGTGCTGGGATTACAGGCTTGAGCCACCGCGCCCAGCAGAAAGCATCAATTCTAAGCAAATACCACAGTTGGTGAGTTAGTCTGAGCTAATTTGAGTCAACAGGTGAGGAACCTAATTATAAAACCTCATGGCTGGGCTCTCAGGGTGTGGGTTCAAGGTCCCTTTACTCATCATGCAGTGATAATGTCACACAACTGGAAAAACACATTAGAGTGAGCATGTATCCATCTCTACACTGAGTCAGTGCCAGAACTGAACATTTGCATTCAGCTTTAAAGCAAAAGAAGGTAAAGTAGAAGGGAAAGCGGGGAGAAGCCCAGCATAGCTGTCTGGACCTTGGTCTCCTGTGGTGCAGAATACAGCACTTTTAGGGTGCATGTAGGCACTGCCTTGCTGTGAGAGCCAGGAAGGACTTATTGGAAAAGGAAGGTTAAACCCCAGGAAGCAAGGAAAGGCATGCACATCTGATTTCCTTTGATTTGGTATGATGCTAAATAAAACGCAGCAAGAGCCAGTGTTCTCAGGATGACACTGACGCAGAGGGGGAAGGAGTGATCCGTTGTTTATGAACAAGCATATTTCGGAAAAATCCAATCTTTTTTTTAACACTTTGTAGTCAAGACACTGAAATGTTTAGTTCTTTATGTATTCATCCTTTATTTAACAAATAAAAACTACCATATGCTGGCCTAGGTACAAGATGTAAAAGGTGACAAAGACATGTCTCCTCAAGGAGCTTCACCCTATTACACAAGAGAGACACTGTGATGGTTTGAATGTTTTTGTCCCCCAAATTCATGTGTTGAAATCTGAATGCCCAGGGTATTAGTACACATTGAGTATCCCTTATCCAAAATGCTTGAGACCAGAGTGTTCTAGATTTGAGACTTTTTTTTTAATTTTGAGATATTTGCATTATGCTTGCCATTTGAGCATCCCAAATTCAAAAATTCAAAACCCAAAATTCTCCAGTGAGCACTTCCTTCCTTTGAGCATCATGCTGACTTTCAAAAAGTTTTGGGTTTTGACGCATTTTGGATTTTGGATTTTTAGATTAGGGATGCTCAATTTGTATTAACAGATGGAAGTTTTGGGGAGGTGATTAGGTCATGAGGATGGAACCCTCATGAATGAAATACATGCCCTTATAAAAGAAACCTTAGAAAACTGCCTTGCCCTTTCACTGTGTGATATCACAGCAAGAAGGCACCATCTATAAACCTGAAAGCCCTTACTAGGCACAGAAACTGTAAGCACATTGGTCTTGGATTTCCCAGCCTCTAGAACTGTGAAAAGTAAACTTCTGTTGTTTAGAAGCCACCCAGTTTATGACACTTTGTTATAGAAGCCTGAATGGACTAAGACAGATAGCCATAAACAAGTAATTGGATAGTATGGCAATGTCTCCTATATAACTCTAAAATCCTAGTTTCCTAGGGCTGCTGTAACAAATTACAAAAAATTTGCGTCTTAAAACAAAATACACTTATTCCCTCACAATTCTGAAGCTTAGAAGCCTGAAATCAAGGTGCCAGCAGAGATGTGCTTTTTCCAAAGCCCCTAGGAGAAAAATCTTCCACTTTTCCAGCTTTTGGTGGCTCTAGGTGTTTCTTGGCTTGTGGCAGCATCACTCCAATCTCTGCCTCCCTCTTTACATGGCCTTCTCCTCTTCCTGTCTGTTTCTCTTCTGTGAGTCTCTTATAAGAACACTTTGTCATTGGATTATCTGGTGGGCACCAGATAATCCAGAATGATCTCATGTCAAGATCTATAACTTGTAAATAAGTTATAACTTGTAAATAAGTTATAGATCTTGACATGAGATCATACTGCAAAGACTCTTTGTCTGAATAAAATCATGTTGACAGGTACTACATCCTAGTACCTGTCAACATGATGACAGTATATGTTGACAGTATATGTTAGAGGCCTCCATTCAATCCAATACAGGTAAAATGGATGAATAGTAAAATAGTAAAGTTGCAATCAGAGAGCCTACTTGGAGGGGTGAAATTTTGAGTTTCATTTGAAATGATATGTAGAAAATAGAGGCGTTTTAGAGGCAACATTGGGACAGTGGGTCTTCATTCTAGGCAGAAGGGTAGCATGAGCTAAAGCATAAAGACAATAATTGAATATAAAACAACATCAACATCTCAGTGTGCCTGGAGAGCAGTGTGAGCAGAGAGGAGTGTGAAAGAAGAAGCTGAAAACCAAGGAGGTGGCCAACCTGCAGGGGGCTTAAGTGCCATGCCACAGAGTAGCCTTCGATCCTGCTTGTCAACAGTTCTTAGCTAGTTTGCCATGGCGTTTTGGTGAACTAACAGTGTATAGGTCAAAATATAGACCTTGTAGGTCAAGTGCAAAACTTGTACTTGTCAACGTTGAGGGTGTTAAGGGCATACGTTCCATAAAAGGTTGAACTACATGGAGGGTGTGACATGATGCAGAGTGAAGTCAAACAATCTTTCTAAGAGGGGTAACATAATGTTGTGCCATGATGTCATGTTGGCCACCAGCATGATGGTATGTTTACCAAGACCTATGAGTATTAGGAGGATATGGTGAGGGCAGTGAATACTTCTACTTGGAGAGCAACATGGTGCTGAGAAGAAAACCTGTGGGGTTTTTGTAGATACTGTAAGACATTGTGTAGTTGAGTAGTGAGTATTTTGTTGTTATTGTTGATTTATTTAATTATGCTTGGAGTTACCTGATCCTGTCAAGCATGCTTCCCAGACATCTAGTACTCAAAATTAGATCATGTTTAAGTGTCAGAACCAAATTTTATTTTTTATTTTTTCCTTCCTTCCTTCCTCTTTCTTTCTTTCTTTCCTTATTTAAAAAAAATTCCTTTGGTTATTTTTATACTTGTGATGGAGAGGGGAAGATAGCAAGCGCAGAGGCAAGGGGATCAGTCAGGAACACTTTGCATTGACATTGAAAGTGATATGCACTCAACCAGTATAATAGGAGTTAAGATATAAAGAGGGGGACAGATGTGAGAAATAACTGGTGAAGTAAAATCAGTGTGGTTTAAGAGTTGATATAAATTAAGTTAAGATAAACAAAAGAAAGGAACTCTAATTCAGGCAAAAACTCAATAAGTGGTTGTCTCCCCAAGCCCATGGGAATGTTCACCCCTCCTCAATCTATCCCCCCAGGTGTGCTGAATTACTTTTGCCTCTTCAAACTGGGCATGCTCAAATGCACCTCTAGGTCTTGCTACTTATTCTTTTTCCTACCAGGAATGTTGAGTATTATTATTCTCATATTATAAACAGGAAAATGAGGTTCAGAATGCACCTCAGGACACAGCCCAGATATTTTGCTTCCAAAATCACTAATTTGTCCAAACATACTATACTATTGGCCTCAGATAAAACGTTCCAGGGATAGGGAGGTTCCAAGATGGCCAAATAGGAACAGCTCCAGTTTGCAGCTCCCAGCATGAGTGACACAGAAGACAGGTGATTTCTGCATTTCCAACTGAGCTTTGAAGAGAGTAGTGGTTCTCCAAGAACAGAGTTTGAGATCTGAGAATGGACAGACTGCCTCCTTAAGTGGGTCCCTGACCCCCAAGTAGCCTAACTGGGAGACACCTCCCAGTAGGGGCTGACTGCCAACTTATACAGCCAGGTGCCCCTCTGAGACGAAGCTTCTAGAGGAAGGATCAGGCAGCAACATCTGCTGTTCTGCAATATTTGCTGTTCTGTAGCCTCTGCTGGTGATACCCAGGCAAACAGGGTCTGGAGTGGACCTCCAGCAATCTCCAACAGACCTGTAGCTGAGGGTCCTGACTGTTAGATGTAAAACTAACAAACAGAAAGGACATCCACACCAAAACCCCACCTGTATATCACCATCACCAAAGACCAAAGGGAGATAAAAACCACAAAGATGGGGAGAAACCAGAGCAGAAAAGTTGAAAATTCTAAAAATCAGAGAGCCTCTTCTCCTCCAAAGGAACACAGCTCCTCGCCAGAAATGGAACAAAGCTGGATGAAGAATGACTTTGATGAGTTGAGAGAAGAAGGCTTCAGACAATTGGTAATAACGAACTTCTCTGAGCTAAAGGAGGATGTTTGAACCCATCACAAAGAAGCTAAAAACCTTGAAAAAAGATTAGATGAATGGCTAACTAGAATAACCAGTGTACAGAAGTCCTTAAATGACCCGATGGAGCTGAAAACCATGGCATGATAACTACGTGACGCATGCACAAGCTTCAGTAGCTGGTTTGATGGAGTGGAAGAAAGGGTATCAGTGATTGAAGATCAAATGAATGAAATGAAGCGAGAAGAGAAGTTTAGAGAAAAAAGAGTATAAAGAAACGAACAAAGCCTCCAAGAAATATGGGACTATGTGAAAAGACCAAATCTATGTCTGATTGGTGTACCTGAACATGATGCGGAGAATGGAACCAAGATGGAAAACACTCTACAGGATATTGTCCAGGAGAACCCCCCCAACCTAGCAAGGCAGGCCAATATTCAAATTCAGGAAATACAGAGAATGCCACAAAGATACTCCTTGAGAAGAGCAACTCCAAGACACATAATTGTCAGATTTACCAAAGTTGAAATGAAGGAAAAAATGTTAAGGGCAGCCAGAGAGAAAGATCAGGTTACCCACAAAGGGAAGCCCATCAGACTAAGAGCTGATCTCTCCACAGAAACTCTACAAGCCAGAAGAGAGTGGGGGCCAAGATTCAATATTCTTAAAGAAAAGAATTTTCAACCCAGAATTTCATATCCAGCCAAACTAAGCTTCATAAATGAAGGAGAAATAAAATCCTTTACAGACAAGCAAATGCTGAGAGATTTTGTCAACACTGGGCCTGCCTTACAAGAGCTCCTGAAGGAAGCACTAAACATGGAAAGGAACAACCGGTACCAGACACTGCAAAAACATGCCAAATTGTAAAGACCATTGATGCTAGGAAGAAACTGCATCAACTAACGAGCAAAATGACCAGCTAACATCATAATGACAGGATCAAATTCACACGTAACAATATTAACCTTAAATGTAAATGGGCTAAATGCTCCAATTAAAAGACACAGACTGGCAAAGTGGATAAAGAGTCGAGACCCATCAGTGTGCTGTATTCAGGAGACCCATCTCATGTGCAAAGACACACATAGGCTCAAAATAAAGGGATGGAGGAAGATCTACCAAGCAAATGGAAAACCAAAAAAAGAAGGGGTTACAATCCTGGTCTCTGACAAAACTGACTTTAAACCAACAAAGATCAAAAGATACCAAGAGGCCATTACATAATGGTAAAGGGATCAATTCAACAAAAAGAGCTAACTATCCTAAATATATATGCGCCCAATACAGGAGCACCCAGATTCATAAAGCAAGTTCTTAGAGACCTACAAAAAGACTTAGACTCCCACACAACAATAATGGGAGACTTTAACACCCCACTGTCAACATTAGACAGATCAATGAGACAGAAAGTTAAAAAGGATATCCAGGAATTGAACTCAGCTCTGCACCAAGCAGACCTAACAGACATCTACAGAACTCTCCACCCCAAATCAACAGAATATACATTCTTCTCAGCACCACATCACACTTATTCTAAAATTGACCACATACTTGGAAGTAAAGCACTCCTCAGCAAATGTAAAACAACAGAAAATATCACAAACTGTCTCTCAGACCACAGTGCAATCAAACAAGAACTGAAGAATAAGAAACTCACTCAAAACTGCTCAACTACATGGAAACTGAACGACCTGCTCCTGAATGACTACTGGGTACATAACGAAATGAAGGTAGAGATAAAGATGTTCTTTGAAACCAATGAGAACAAAGACACAACATACCAGAATCTCTGGGACACATTTAAAGCAGTGTGTAGAGGGAAATTTATAGTACTAAATGCCCACAAGAGAAAGCAGGAAAGATCTAAAATTGACACCCTAACATCACAATTAAAAGAACTAGAGAAGCAAGAGCAAACACATTCAAAAGTTAGCAGAAGGCAAGAAATAACTAAGATCAGAGCAGAACTGAAGGAAATAGAGACACAAAAAACCCTTCAAAAAATCAATGAATACAGGAGCTGGTTTTTTGAAAAGATCAACAAAATTGATAGACCACTAGCAAGACCAATAAAGAAGAAAAGAGAGAAGAATCAAATAGATGCAATAAAAAAATGATAAAGGGGATATCGCCACTGATCCCACAGAAATACAAACTACCATTAGGGAATACTATAAACACCTCTATGCAAATAAACTAGAAAATCTAGAAGAAATGGATAAATTCCTGGACACATACACCCTCCCAAGGCTAAACCAGGAAGAAGTTGAATCCCCGAATAGACCAATAAGAGGTTCTGAAATTGAGGCATAATTAATAGCCTACCAAGCAAAAAAAGACCAGGACCAGACAGATTCACAGCCGAATTCTACCAGAGATACAAATAGGAGCTGGTACCATTCCTTCTGAAACTGTTCCCATCAATAGAAAAAGAGGGAATCCTCCCTCATTCATTTTATGAGGCCAACATCATCCTGATACCAAAGCCTGGCAGAGATACAACAACAAAAAAGAGAATTTTAGACCAATATCCCTGATGAACATTGATGCAAAAATCCTTAATAAAATACTAGCAAACCGACTCCAGCAGCACATCAAAAATATTATCCACCACGATCAAGTTGGCTTCATCCCTGGGATGCAAGGCTGGTTCAATATACAAAAATCAATAAACGTAATCTATCATATACACGGAACCAAAGACAAAATCCACATTATTATCTCAATAGATGCAGAAAAAGCCTTCGACAAAATTCAACAGCCCTTCCTGCTAAAATCTCTCAATAAACTAGGTACTGATGGAAAGTATCTCAAAATAATAAGAGCTATTTATAAAAAGCCCACAGCCAATATCATACTGAATGGGCAAAAATTGGAAGCATTCCCGTTGAAAACTGGCACAAGACAGGGATGCCCTCTCTCACCACTCCTTTTCAACATAGTGTTGGAAGTTCTAGCCAGGGCAATCAGGCAAAAGAAAGAAATAATGAGTATTTAATTAGCAAAGAGGAAGTCAAATTGTCCCTGTCTGCAGATGACATGATTGTATATCTAGAAAACCCCATCATCTCAGCCCAAAATCTCCTTAAGCTGATAAGCAACTTCAGCAAAGTCTCAGGATACAAAATCAATGTGCAAAAATCACAAGCATTCTTATACACCAATAACAGACAAACAGAGAGCCAAATCATGAGTGAACTCCCATTCACAATTGCTACAAAGAGAATAAAATACCTAGGAACCCAACTTACAAGGGATGTGAAGAACTTCTTCAAGAACTACAAACCATTGCTCGACGAAATAAAAGAGGAGATGAACAAATGGAAGAATATTCCATGCTCATGGATAGGAAGAAACAATATTGTGAAAACGGCCATACTGCCCAAGGTAATTTATAGATTCAATGTCATCCCCATCAAGCTACCAATGACTTTCTTCACAGAATTGGAAAAAACTACTTTAAAGTTCATATGGAACCAAAAAAGAGCCCACATTGCCAAGACAATCCTAAGCCAAAAGAACAAAGCTGGAGGCATCACGCTACCAGACTTCAAACTATACTACAAGGCTACAGTAACCAAAACAGCATGATACTGGTACCAAAACAGAGCTAGACCAATGGAATAGAATAGAGCCCTCGGAAATAATACCACACATCTACAACCATCTGAGCTTTGACAAACCTGACAAAAACAAGAAATGGGGAAAGGATTCCCTATTCAATAAATGGTGCTGGGAAAACTGGTTAGTCATATGTAGAAAGCTGAAACTTCATTTTTCTCCTTAGCACTTGTCATCACCTGAAATAATGTATTTTCAACTTGTCTGTTTCCTCCCAGTAGATTATAAATTCCATGGGGTTGAGAGTGGGCAGAGACTATTAAATTTTTTTAATTGTATTTACTGCTATATCCCTAAAGACCAGATTGTTTTCTAAATTTTATTTAATTTTTATTTTTTATTTGTTGTAGGGACAAGGTCTTGCTATGTTGCCCAGGCTTGTCTTGAGCTCTGGCCTGAAGAGATCCTCCTACCTTGGCCTCCCAAAGTGCTGGGATTACGGGTGTGGGCCACTGTGCTCAGACTCAGATTATTAAGTACCTATCTGTTGAATGAAAGAAGGAATCTCATTTGTCAACATTTATACACATGGTAAGATCTACCTGGGAAGCTGGGAAATGTTGCATACACCAGACTAGAACTTGGAAGGAGTGACGTATAGATATTGTGAGACAATTGACAGTCTCCACTATAGAAAGCACTCACTAATTGAGCTCATGTAAACCTTATACACATGTTTACTCTCGCTAAGATAAAACTATAAAGACAGCATAAAACTATAAAGACAGCATGCACCGTGTCTTCCGAAAAACACAATGGATAATATGTGACTTAGGAGTTTTAGTTACAGAAAGCTGGGCAGGGAAAAAATTATAAATATACAATATATATTTATATATTTCGTATATAATATGTACAATATATTTACATATAATTTATATGTAAATATATAATTTATATACACAAAGTATCGATTATAACATATATAATTTATATCTATACTATATATAGATATAAAATGACATTGTGCTATGCATATCAGCAAACTAATGCTCAAGAAAGTGACACTTGCTCTAGGGCACAAAACCCATTAACCCTTTTATGCCTGAGGTTGCAATTTTTTGAATTTTTGCAATCAAACCTTGGTGATGACCTCGAGCTGTAGGATATAAATAACTCTCACATGCTTAGCGTTCCAATAATGGAACACTAGGCATAAATGAGTTTTCCATTATCAGAACACTACGCATGTGGGAGTTATTTAAGTGTCAAAATGAAGGCCAAAACTTTTGGTTTTGTGTTCTACCAGGTATGCCATGAAACATTTTCTCATACTGTTGTGTTGTTGATTTTCCATAGACGTCATGTGTGGGGAGGGAAAATAAGTGTACGCATGGTCAGAACATCCATGTCGTTCACACAGGGTTATAGAGTAAGAAGTAGAGACAGCTCAGAAGTAATGAGAGGCTAGGGCATTCTGTGCTTGTAAACTGAGGTGTTTTTGGCCAAAGGACTTCTAAAATACTCCATTAACAACTGTTGGAGTCCTACTAGTTCTAGACAGACATCTTCGTGCTAATCCAATAACTTATGTGCTATATTATTTGCTTATCAGTAAGCAAATTGCATATGTGCATATACATGTAACCCATTTTATTGGATTCAAAGGTAAATTTTCAGGTGAAATTGTGTTAGCAGATTGCCCTCTACATTGCTCAAAATAGATTAAAGTATTTTTTTAAAAGGAATTAACTTTCCATTTTCTCCAACTTCCCTCATAGGGGAGTGTTACAGGACGAGTGTTACAGGACGTTGATAATTTTGTTGGTGATGTATGAGACTAAGCCAAACTCAGTTTTCTCCTCTTCAGATGTTGAGTTAAAAGAAGTGCTGTCATGCAGGAATAATACTTTTTTGGCAAGCTATTTGACATGTGGGACGATGATCATTTTAGAGAGCAAGATGGCTTCCTGCAACAGCCCATTCTCTCTACCCCACTTTACCATCCCCTGCATACAAACACACAAGATCATCAACTTGCTTAAGGTCCTGAAGCCAATTAATAAGTAAGAACAGGGTCCAAAACTGCTCATGTCTTCATGCTGTGGTTTTAAAGTAAGAAGGGAGGAAGTTCTTTCCAACACAGTCATCTGATCCCATCTCCTCAGAGAAGCAGGACTTGTGTGGTACTGCCCTAACGTAGCACTGTGTTTTCCCTGCCAGAGCCCTGACCCTGTGTATTAGTTCGCTCTCACATTGCTATAAAGAGAAACCTGAGACTGGATAATTTATTTAAAAAAATAAAGAGGTTTAATTGGCTTATCGTTTTGCATGAAGCATAGAAGCTTCTGCTTCTGGGGAGGTCCCAGGAAGCTCCCAATCATGGCAGAAGGCAAAGGATGAGCGAGGTGTTTCACATGGTGGAAGCAGGTGCAAGACAGAAGGAGAGGGGAGATACTACACATTTTTAAACAACCAGATATCGTGAGAACTCACTCATGATCTGAGGACTACACCAAAAGGATGGTGCTAAACCAGCCATGAGAAATCCACCCCCATGATCCAATCACCTCCCACCAGGTCACACCTCTAACATTAGGGATTACAATTCAACAAGAGATTTGGTGGAATCACATCACCCTGTTACCTGTAATTCCTCTTTTATTAGTCCTCACCTACCTACTATGTGCCCTGTGATGGCAGAAATGGTTTCTGTCTTTTCACACAGACATCTCCAAAACCTCTATAGAGTCTAGTGCATAATAGATACTCAATAACTATTATCAAATTGAATCAATTCAGCTTACATAGCTTAAAGGGAATTTATGAGGGTTGAAATGTAGAGGCATAGAAAGGGTCAAAATTAAAGAAGAAATAAATTAGCATAGAGAAAACTCATTGAATAAAAACCCAGTAAAATGTATATATCATCCCACTGCAATTTTGGTCTTCATAATCAGGTGACCTCAGGTTATAAACTATTTTTTTAACTTTTTATTTTTATTTATTTATTTATTTTGAGATGGAGTCTCGCTCCATTGCCCAGGCTGGAGTACAGTTGCGTGATCTCGGCTGGGACTACAGGCGCCTGCCACCATTCCCAGCTAATTTTTGTGTTTTTAGTAGAGATGGGGTTTCATCTTGTTGGTCAGGCTGGTCTTGAATTCCTGACTTTAGGTGATCTACCAGCCTCAGCCTCCCAAAGTGCTGGGATTACAGATGTAAGCCACCACGCTTCGATATTTTTTTAACTTTTTAAGACACAGATTAACACTTAAACTACAAGAGGGAGTGTGAACAACTTAAGTTATTGTTGTTAAAGTGGCACTGGCTTGGGTCAGTGTCATTTCAAGCTTCACAGGAAATAGAAGTGAAAGTTGGTTGTCATAGAAATTAAGAAATGATTCATATTCTTAAAGAAGCTTAATTGGAATTTGGACTTGATTTGCAACTTGATATATTTTTAGTTGATGTTGAGGCCAAACTCAAAATAAAATCCTCTATCAATTAAGTTTGTGGAAGAGTTTTCTTTTTTCTTTCTTTCTTTTTTTTTTTTGAGACAGTGTCTCGCTCTATCACCCAGGCTGAATGCAGTGGCGCAATCATAGCTCACTGCAGCCTTAATCTCCAGGCTCAAGAGATAACTATTCTCAGTCTCTCCAGTAACTGGGACCACAGGTGTGTACCACCATACCTAGCCAATTTTTTTTCTTTTTAATTTTTGTAGAGACAAGGTCTTACTATGTTGCCCAGGCTGGTCTTGAAGCACAGGGGATCCTCCACCTCAGCCTCCTAAAGTGTTGAGATCATAGGAGTAAGCCACTGCTCCTGACTGAAAGAGATTTTAATTAGATTTCATCAAAAATTTATTGTGATGAACTAGTGGTAACCTATTTAATATATTTGCTCCAGATTTGCTTCCCCTTCCTCAATTCTACTCTAACTTTTCCTAACCACTCAAACACACACACACACACACACGCACTCATTATTGGAGATCTGTAATGTCTTGCCTTACATCTTCTAGGGCACTAGAGATCCATTTCAAAAGGTGGTGTTTGAAAAATGCTGTTAGGTCCTTCAAGTGTGTGAGTTTCCACTCCAGCTATCAGAGTTATCATCCTGAAATTCTAAGTGGTAAGCAAAATGATAGCTGTATACCTAAACATTTATATTTCCACACATACATAAATTATGATGATATGCAGTTGACCTTTGAACAACACAGGTTCAGACTGCATGGGTTCGCTTATGTGTGAATTTTCTTCTGCCTCTGCCACTCCTGAGACAGCAAGACCAACCCTTCCTCTTTCTCCTCCTCAGCCTACTCAATGTAAAGACAATGACAATGAAGACCTTTATGGTGATCTGCTTCCACTTAATGAATAGAAAACATATTTTCTTTATGATTTTCTTCTCTAGCTCCTTTATTATAAGAATACAGTACATAATATACAAAACATACAGAATATGTGTTAATCAGCTTTATGTTATTGGTAAGGCTTCCAGTCAACAGTAAACTATTAGAAGTGAAGTTTGCAGGGAGTCAAGAGTCACACATGGATTTCTGACCACACAGGGATTGGCACTCCTAATCCTCACATTGTTCAAGGGTCAACTTTATATTTCTATAAATATAGTACTAAGAGGAAATGTCAGGAGATCTTACGTAAACTTACTGATGCAGGAATTTCTGCTCCTCAGCTCAGCTAAAATCCAGGTTCTTGTGTCACTACCAGGAAATTTAGGCATGCAGGCACATTGAGAGGTGAGGAGAGCAGAATTTATTAAAAGAAAGCTCTCGGCAAAATAGAGGGGGTCTTGCCAACAGGATCCCACCTCGCAGATTGAATACCAGGCCACCGCACATGAGCTCCACACATAAGCTCAAGAGGCCTGGCTCCTCCCACTGCATAAGGCATGAATTCCTGGTGGCCCCACCCCCCATTCTTCCAGTGCGCATGCGGGCCCATAGTCTGAGCAACTCCACCTTGACTTATTTTCTTTACTGCACATGTGTTAAGGGATGGAATTTTTCACTGCAGGCATGTTTAGGCAAGCTCCCTGTGTGACCTGGGTGGCATTCGGCTGCCTCCTGTCTCTGTCATTATTATATAAATATCTTACAAATATTTACCCTTTGAATACTTTCACCTTCTTTAAAAGGAAACTATAAAGGCAGCACACTTTATAAAGAGACTATTTAGACATTTTATACATGTTAGATGGGTCATTACAGGTATTTTGCATTTCGTTTACATCTACAGTTGCTTCTTCGCTAAATACTTTTTAAGTGTAATAATGGCTAATATCTATTAAGCTCTTACTATGCTCAGAGCAACACATTAAGTGTTTATATACATTACTGCATTTAATCCTTTCATCGACCCTATGAATAGATACTATTATCATCTTCATTTTACCCATAAAGAAATTCAACATAAAGAGGTTAAATAACTTGCTAAGTAAATGGCAAAGTCTTACCTCAAACTCCAAAGCTCTCTTTCCCTCTTAGTTTTAGAAAATAACTATAAGTTTGATGCATGCATAATAAAGCACCTTCTGTCTCTTTTCAATGACCACTCGATTTGTGATTTTATGACTTTTAGAGTGGTTTTCACTAGACTCTGAATCCCACTTCTGTCACTTTCAGTTTCTCCCATTGTACTGGGTAATAGCTTTTTTTTTTTTTCTGGTTTGAAGAAATTTATTAAAATTGAAAGACATGTTTAATCTATCCCATAAGTATCCATCAAGCTGCCTACAACAAAGACCACCCTTAACGTTTCCAGATTTCAATTTAAATGATACCTGATGAACATAGGCTATCAGATATTTTATTGTCATCAAGTAATCAGTGAGTCCTGGATAATAGTTCTAAAGGCCTGTTTTACCTGCTCATAACTTTCTGTTAAAAAAAAACTTCAGTTTCTGCTCTCCCGTCCATTTTGCATTTTTCCCCCTGCCATTTGAACAAGTATCCCCCAGAGAAAGATTCATCATGACTGCACATAAGGACAGCTATCCCTAAGAACAACAGAATCAGATAAGATGAAAGATAGGGATCCGAGTTGGACATTGAATGATTGCATCTGTCCTTCACAAAAAGGAAGCCTACATTTGAACTTACATGAACTCCTACTTTGAATTAAGCATCATTTTGAAAAAATGTGCAAATCATTTTATATTGGTAGCTGAATGAAAGGAAAACACTGTGTGGATCCAGGTTATCTTTTATTTTGGTTGAGTCTGGATCTTCTGCACAGTGTCACCAGTTGCATGATGTTCCCTAATCCCTGGCTGATTTTTTATCTCAGTTTATCTATGGACTGGGGAAAAAAATTAAGACCATGAGCAATGAAAGAATTGTTTTTATGAGATACATCCCCCCAAAAATGTACAAGAAGTATTGAGAAACACAACCACTTGCCAATGTTTCTTTTGATTGTGATGGATTTCAATGGATTTGAAGGATAGCCAACTTTTCCTCTGACCACAAAACATAAGAAATAGGAAGAATTATTCTCCAACTAATCCTCCCTTAAGCTGAAAACTCACTTTTGGAGAAATTAACAAACTTTGCCAAACAGCAAATTGAGCTAGAAGAATTTGAAGAGGATGGGAACGGATTTGGAGATATTACAACTGAGTAACTCTAGCCAATTGGAAAAAATGAATCTGTCATATTTCGAAAGACTTCACTAGAGGATTTAAAATTTCTGTCAACTCTCTAACCCATGTTAAAAACTCTCACCAACAGCAAATGGTGCCTTCTATTCGACTGAAGACCTCCATGTTGTAATTTCATAGATTCTTTACATTCTTAAAGTTCTAAAGTATTATTGAAGTAAATGAAGAAAGAAAATGATGTGTCTCCGTTCTCTTGGTCAAAACTTTTTAAAATGCAATAATTTCAATTACATTTTTCCTTAATTTTCCTCCCTTCAAGCTGAAAACTTCTAGCCTCTTTAATTTTTTGCTCTTATATTTCTTTTGCTTTGTGTATTAGAACATGTAGATCTGGAAGCAAAATATAGATTTAAATGCTTTAGGCTGAAATAGTTTTACTAAAATGTTCTCCATTTTGAAAAACACTTTTGGCTTTTATTTACATTTAAATGCCCTTGTAAACTGGGGATTTTTTTTTTCTAAAATGGCTTAAAACTTTTCCATCATAAAATGTAGATCACTTGATTAGATGATATTCAATCCAGTGTATTTAAAAAGAGCTTCCAATAAAAGCAGTTTCAAAGCAGCTTCTAGACTATAACTATAAAAAAGTCCATTTGCCTATTTAGTCTGCCATTGCTGAATGAAAAACAGCTATAAATGTCATTGAAAGACAGATTATTTATTATATTTTCCCAGCTGCTTACTAGATTGGTTATTTGAGTCTCTTCTAGGTGTAAAATGCTCTATATTAATAAATTCAAATGATGTCTGTTGTCTTGTACAAACACAGATGTCATTTTTGCAGCTAGAACTTAAGTATACAAAATTTAAAAAAATATGAATTTTGAATTGACAGAGAGAAATATTGTAGTAAGAATGAAAAGCCTAAGCCCAACTCTTATACATTCATCTTTCACTCAACAATACAATATTTCAACTTATCACAACCTCCACTAAATAAAGTACTTTACTTTTTTGATATGTTGACATCTGATGTAATTATTTGCATGTCCTATAGACCCTTATAATTACAGTAACTTTTTCTACAGAGGACTGGATTCATAACCACGGTGAAATTTGTTTTTTCTATTGGTTTTTATAAAAATGGAAACAAGCTAGGGTATTGGTACACAGGCCAATTGGTCATCTCTCTATTCTCAGCCTTTTGCCTCACAATGATTAAAACAATGGTTCCATCAGAAAATGAGAAGATTAGCTGGACCAATCAACATAACCTAAAACGTATTTTGAGGACATGGGTCTCAGCTTTTGTTTCCAAAGCAATACAAAGTAATAATACTTCTATATGGCTGCAGGGAAACTTTAATATCAGACATTGGCCTGGCTTGGGAATCTAGCTCGAAGCAGTTCTCTACCTATTTCTGCAAGATTTATATTTGCCACATTTCAGCTTATTTTCAAGAGCCTTGTCCAGCAGCCAGAAATGGGAAGCATATTCTAAGACTGCACTTCTTTTCTCAGAGGCACGTTTGCACACTTTAGGACCACATTGTTATCATTTTATCCTCCTGGAGTGTAAAGTTTATCATGATGATGATGGTGGTGGTGGTGATGATTATTTATTGAGCACTGATTATCATTTATTGAGCCAGTCATTAGATTAAAAATGTTTCACTATTTAACCAATATGACAACCCTATGTGATAGATACTATTATTATCTTTATTTGAAAGATGAGGATAAACAACAGACAAACAGAGAGCCAAATCATGAGTGAACTCCCATTCACAATTGCTTCAAAGAGAATAAAATACCTAGGAATCCAACTTACAAGGGATGTGAAGGACCTCTTTAAGGAGAACTACAAACCACTGCTCAATGAAATAAAAGAGGATACAAACAAATGGAAGAACATTCCATGCTCATGGGTAGGAAGAATCAATATCGTGAAAATGGCCATATTGCCCAAGGTAATTTATAGATTCAATGCCATCCCCATCGAGCTACCAATGACTTTCTTCACAGAATTGGAAAAAACTACTTTAAAGTTCATATGGAACCAAAAAAGAGCCCGCATCACCAAGTCAATCCTAAGCCAAAAGAACAAAGCTGGAGGCATCATGCTACCTGACTTCAAACTATACTACAAGGCTACAGTAATCAAAACAGCATGGTACTGGTACCAAAACAGAGATATAGATCAATGCAACAGAACAGAGCCCTCAGAAATAACACCGCATATCTACAACTATCTGATCTTTGACAAACCTGAGAAAAACAAGCAATGGGGAAAGGATTCCCTCTTTAATAAATGGTGATGGGAAAACTGGCTAGCCATATGTAGAAAGCTGAAACTGGATCCCTTCCTTACACCTTATACAAAAATCAATTCAAGATGCATTAAAGACTTAAATGTTAGATGTAAAACCATAAAAACCCTAGAAGAAAACCTAGGCATTACCATTCAGGACATAGGCATGGGCAAGGACTTCATGTCTAAAACACCAAAAGCAATGGCAACAAAAGCCAAAATTGACAAATGGGATCTAATTAAACTCAAGAGCTTCTGCACAGCAAAAGAAACTACCATCAGAGTGAACAGGCAACCTACAAAATGGGAGAACATTTTTGCAACCTACTCATCTGACAAAGGGCTAATATCCAGAATCTACAATGAACTCAAACAAATTTACAAGAAAAAAAACAAACAACCCCCTCAAAAAGTGGGCAAAGGACATGAACAGACACTTCTCAAAAGAAGACATTTATGCAGCCAAAAAACACATGAAAAAATGCTCACCATCACTGGCCATCAGAGAAATGCAAATCAAAACCACAATGAGATACCATCTCACACCAGTTAGAATGGCAATCATTAAAAAGTCAGGAAACAACAGGTGCTGGAGAGGATGTGGAGAAATAGGAACACTTTTACACTGTTGATGGGACTGTAAACTAGTTCAACCATTGTGGAAGTCAGTGTGGTGATTCCTCAGGGATCTAGAACTAGAAATACCGTTTGACCCAGCCATCCCATTACTGGGTATATACCCAAAGGACTATAAATCATGCTGCTATAAAGACACGTGCACACGTATGTTTATTGTGGCGTTATTCACAATAGCAAAGACTTGGAACCAACCCAAATGTCCAACAATGATAGATTGGATTAAGAAAATGTGGCACATATACACCATGGAATACTATGCAGCCATAAAAAATGATGAGTTCATGTCCTTTGTAGGGACATGGATGAAATTGGAAATCATCATTCTCAGTAAACTATCACAAGAACAAAAAAACAAACACCGCATATTCTCAAACAGGTGGGAATTGAACAATGAGAACACATGGACACAGGAAGGGGAATATCACACTCTGGGGACTGTTGTGGGGTGGGGGGAGTGGGGAGGGATAGCACTGGGAGATATCCCTAATGCTAGATGACGAGTTAGTGGGTGTAGCGCACCAGCATGGCACATGTATACATATGTAACTAACCTGCACATTGTGCACATGTACCCTAAAACTTAAAGTATAATATTAAAAAAAAAAAGAAAGATGAGGATAAATAGAATCTGGAAAGCCTACGCCTTGCCCGAAATCAGACTCCTATAAATGGGGAAAGTCAGTACTCCAATACAGACTTGGCTGAGTCCAGAAAGCATACTCCTAATCGCTATGCTATACTGATTTTAACTGTTAAAGGAATACAAAGTCATTCAGTTGAAGGTTCAAGGACATTATTTTTGTTTCATTTGAGTCTCCTCTATCACTTCTTGATACCACTGACAAAAGCAATAAAGTCAAAACCTCTGTGGTTGCTAAACTCTTTGGAGTTACGTGTTTGAAATTAAAGGAAAGATAAATCCTAGTTGTCTCTTGGGTTCACTACAGAACTTGATAGAGAGTCATCAACCTTTCTGCCAGGATATTTATCATCTTCGTAACTCTAGAGGAGGAGATGATTTTGCCTTGGACAAATATTTTCCTCAAAGGCATATATTAGGTAAACACTAAATGTCCTCGGTATCACTGATATCTATTTCAGCACAGCTGTGCTTATGTAAGGGAGCAGAGGAAGGTTCAGACATTATCTTCAACACTGGCTGATTCTGTAGACAAAATGAGAACCCATTCTCACTCCACCTCCTCAGTTTTCAGGTATTCAGTATCTTCATTTTATGCCCAGATATTCACAGCTCTCCTCCATGGCAGCCCCATAAACACAAGTGACTCCTATTGTAGTCTTAGTCAACCATTTTTGCCTTGGAAATATAATTTATACTACATCCTCTTAGAGTTCTGCTTCATATTAATAGTTGTGGAATTCCAAATTTCAGAGCTGAGTAGGATCATAAATATCATCTGTCATAAATATTATCTATTATCTCCTGATGCCAACAAGAGACCCAAAGCTTAAATGCATGCATGTCCTAGATTACCCAATTGATGAGTGGTAAGAGTGGAAGATGCCACAGCCTGTCTTGCTGACTCCCAGTCCAGTGTTCTTTGCACTTCACCATGCCTTTTTCCTCCTAAATCATACTGTTAGCCAGTTAATGTAAAAAGTTCATGTGCCACATTGGCCCTCATGAACAACACTCTCCCTTCCTTTCCAGTTACCATATGCATTTCAGCAGGGAATGCTTTTAGAAACAGGAGCACTGAGTAACTTTAGTGATTTAAGGGGCTCCAGGCCTAAGCAGTCCAGTTAGAAAGAGGGCCTCCTGGGCAAGCTATACTTGCATTCCTTGTTGAGACACATTCATCATAGCTGTCTTTGTTTAAGTCCAACCTCAACTCTAGAAAGGTCTTGAAAAGCCACAGACAATTCATAGAATGAATCATATGATCTAGGAGCCTTTTGGTGGAGTCTTTAGGGTTTTCTATGTATAGAATCATATCATCAGCAGAGATCATTTGACTTCTTCTTTTTTATTAGATGACTTATTTCTTTCTCTTCCCTGATTGCTCTGGCTAGGATTCCCAGTACTATGTTGAATAAGAGTGGTGAGAGTGAGCATCCTTGTCTTGTTCCAGTTCTTAGGATGCTTCCAGCTTTTGCCCATTTTGTATGATGTTGGCTGTGGGTCTGTCATAGATGCTTCTTATTATTTTGAGGTATGTTCCTACAATACCTAATTTGTTGAGGGTGTTTGTGTAGTGAATCACATTATTGATTTGTCTGTGTTGAACCAACCTTGCATCCCAAGAATAAAGCTTACTTGATTGTGGTGAATTAACCTTTTAATGTGCTGCTGAATTCAGTTTGAAAGTATTTTGTTGAGGATTTTTGTGTCTATGTTCTTCAGAGATATTGGCCTATAGTTTTCCTTTTTCATTGTGTCTTTGCTTGATTTTGGTATCTGACTGATGTTGGTTTCATAGAATGTGTTGTCAATTTTTTGGAAACATTTTCCTAAGATTGGTACCAGGTCTTCTTTGTAGAGCTGGTTTTCTGCCTTGATGGTCTGTCTAATACTGTCAGTGAAGTGTTGAAGTCTCCCACTATTATGATGTGGCTATCTAAGTCTTTTTCATAGGTCTAGAAGAACTTGTTTCATGAACCTGGGTGCTCCAATGTCAGATGCATAATTTAAGACAGTTAATTCTTCTTGTTAAATTGCATCCTTTATTATTATGTAATGACCTTATTTTCCCTTTTTTACTGTTGTTGGTTTAAAGTCTGTTTTATCTATTATAAAAATAGTGACCCTTGCTCTTTTTTGTTTTCCTTGTGTGTTATAGGTCTTTCTCCATCCCTTTACTTTGAGCCTATGGGTGTCATTAAATATGAGACGGGTCTCTTGAAGACCGCAGAAGGTTAGGTCTTGTTTTTATTCAACTTGCCACTCTGTGCCTTTTAAGTGGGGTATTAGGCTGTTTGCATTCAAGGTAGAAAGCAGGGTCCATGAGAAGAATGCTTACAGAATTTAGAATCACTCAGCCAGAAAAAGAAGAAAAAACAATGAAAGCTATTTTCAGAATTGCCTTCTGGTCAAGGGGATTTATAATACAGAAAAAGTTACTTGTCTTCCACACTAAAGAAAGAGAAATTGGGCTTAAATTGCAACAAGATAAATGGGTGGCCCCACTGAGAGTCTGTGTGGTCAATTAGATGGCCTCTGGAAGCTTTCTGTAGCTCTGCTATAAGGAATGAGCTTGACCTGCACAACGTGGAAAGTCATCTTATTAGAGGCATTGGAGGAGAGGTGTATGTCTGTGATGGTCAAGTCAGGCTCTTTACTGAAGGCAGAGGAGTGCAGAGCAGATGGTCTTGAGTCTCCTCATAATCACATTACCTTAGAGTTGATTTTGTTTGCTTTAAAGCTGCTGAGGAATTTTGAGGAATCACCTACCACACACAAGCTTCTATTGTGCGACCAATGAACACACATTGTCATTGACAAAGGGATCAAATTTCATCCTGTCTCAAAAAGAGCATCCAATTTTGGACCATAATATGGTTAAAATAGCATTCTGCAAACAGGTCTCTAAATCAGTTTCTGTACTAGCACAATAAGGTAAGATCTGCAATTCTCCTCTTTGAGTTACTCCAGCTGTGCTATGAAAAGCACAAAGTCAATCTTCATTGCTACCAAAATCTGAAGGTTAAGTTTCCAGGCAAGAAAGTAGGTGGTTCTGAAGCCATGCTCAATCAGTGATGTCAACCTGTCAGAAGTAACTTAACATGGTAGAGGCACTGGACATTTTAGTTGAAGCCTTCTTTTTCTTTCTCACTCCTGAGAAACTGACATTCAGTCACTGTATTTAAAAAAAAATCATAGGAAGAAAGATGCACTGAAAGATAATTTATAATCTGCAGACAACGAAATACCTTTTTTAATACCATCACTGTTGATTTCTTATACATCAGACCTACTGGCATTTTCTCATGCCCTTTTGAAAACTTACAATTGTTCTGAGGCTAATGAGTGAGGGTCATTGGAATACATGTAAATCACCAATCACATTTTTTGTTGAGAGATAAACTTCACATTCAAAGTAGAAGATTATTTCATTATTGATTTCAAAGGTAAAATAAACATTAGATCTATTTTTGTTGTCATTTTGATTTTAAAATTAAAGTCACCTTTTCAACACCTAATTCCTTATAGGTAGTCAGGAAAGCCTCCTGTGTAGGGGTAGGGAGGTTATTAGGTATTTAGACTTAGCAGGTCTCATGTTTAAAAATATTCTTCCTTACTGAAAATCCAAAATTAGCAAATCTGAACTATGTAGAGTGAATTATATTTGCAGTGAAAAAGAGGACAGAGAAAGGGATTGAACAGCAGGGGAGATTCCATTTAAGAGATGATCCTAAGTGCAAGAGAGATAAGTTCATATTTGTCGAATTTTCATAAAAGTGGTTGTCTTCCACTGCGTATCTGCCATATTTGGGGACAAATACAGTGGTCGACTTGATTATATTCTGCAAAATTTACCTGACTTTTGTGATAGTATCTTAGCCCACTCAGGCTACCATAACGAAATACCCGAGACTGAGTGGCTTAAACACAAATGTATTTCCTCATGGTTCTGGAGGCTGGAAGTCCAAGACATGGTACCAGCATGGCTAGCTTCAGGTGAAATCTCCCTTCTTGGCTGGTAGACCATCACCTTTTTGCTGCGTCCTTACATACCAGAGACAGAAAGAAAAAGAGAAAGAGAGAGAGGGAGGACCCCAGTATATCTTCCTATATGGGCATGAAACTCATCATGAAGGCTCCACCCTCATGACTTTATCCAACCCTAATCACCTCCCAAAGGCCCTATCTCCAAATACCATTACACTGAAGGTTAGGACTTCATACAACATTCAGTTCATAACAGACAGTAAAATCAAAGTTTAATTAAAGTATGCATCACAATACAAACTCTACCTAGGCAAATCTTCCTTTTGTACCTTCAGACTCTTTTAAACATCCTTCAAAAATCCACCACCTTCATCCCTGGAGTTGAACCTCCCCTGGCTCCTCTCAGCCACACCTGCATTAATCTGAGTGGCTCCAGTTCTCTGCCCCTCCTTTCTCCTCTCAACAAACTGCCAGTTCTCACCCAGGAAATTAGAAAAGGGGCAGTGTGTGGTGTCAGAAGAGTGACTGAGCTGCATTTTGTGTTGTTCAAGGGAAATATGCCTCCTTTTTATTCTTCTTGTACACCTGTCTTATGTATCTCTCATCTACTTTCTATGTCTCAGTAAGGACATGAATCTACACTGTTCCCAATGCCTTAGACCTAATGGGAAAAAGAATCAGATTGAGACTTACATGAGTAAAGTGCCTTATGTCCTAACCGTGCTTTCATATAAACTGATTTGTGTGGCCCTCACTATTACCTCCATTTCACAGATGAGGAAATTAACAACAAAGAAGTTGAATCCCTTGTCTGAGGACAATGAAACTTAAGTAGCGGATCCAGAATCAATCCAAGTCCTTTGAACAATAGGCTAGGCCCTCCCATGACTTTGCAGTTATCCACCATAGAACAACTTCATGTGGTCAGCAAGACCAGCCAATGGGGTTTGAAAATGTTTTCTTCATAATCTCTGCGATTGTGATACAACAAACTTCCTGCTGTCCCATTATTCTGAAATGCTTTTCAACATAAAACTAGTAAATTTCAATAACTGAAATGATACACAGGAGTGCATACATATGCATATATTCTTTAAAAGTGGAGAACACAAATTACCCTAATGAGCTGCTGTCATATGCTTCTCTTAATTGTGGTCTTTCTATCCAGTTGCCTCTGAGCAGAGACTCATTTTTTTTGAGCTCTTAACTAGGTACCTGGCACAAAGCTGTATCCTATGTGAGAACCACAGGTTGCCTACCAACCAACAGCATGCACTTCAAAGCGGGACAAACCTTGGTCCCAAACCTGACTCTGCCAATTAGTCATGTGACTGATCTTGAGCCTTTTTTTTTTCAGCCTCAGCTTTCCCATCTGTTAAACTGAAGTAAAAGTAACAGTTAGTATTATTGCACATGTTAAATAAGATAATGCACAGAAGGAACTCAGCACAATATCTGACATGTAGTAAATATTACCTGTTGTCATTATTATGGTTACCATTTATTATTAAAGGATAAACAAAGCATAGTTCCCTCAGAAGACTCACAGGATAATGAAAATCTAAAGTAGGGGCCAGGCGTAGTGATTCACGCCTGTAATCCCAGCACTTTGGGAGGCCGAGGCAGGCGGATCACTTGAGGTCAGAAGTTCAAAACCAGCATGTTGAAACCTTGACTCTACTAAAAAAAAAACAAAAATTAGCCAGGTGTGGTGATGTACTCCTGTAATCCCAGCTACTCAGGAGGCTAAGGCAGGAGAATTGCTTGAACCCTGGTGGCAGAGGTTGCAGTGAGCCCAGATCCCACCACTGCACTCCTGCCTGGGTGACAGAGCAAGACTCTGTCTCAAAAAAATTAAATTAAATTAAATTAAATGAAACTAAAAATAGGCTAAAATAATGCTGCTACAAGCAGATTTCAGAAATGGAATGGAGCAAAGAGACACATAGATTTTCTTCCTGCGGCTCTCACCCTATTAATTCCCAAATGCCATAACACACTTGCCCTAAGACAGCAAAATCCTGACTGACTTAAACCTCGGTAATTTTTTTCCTTGGGAAATAGGAATCTCAATGCATGAAAGTACATCTGCAGAAATGGTAAGCATATGGGGTAAAAACCCAAAGCAAAAAAAAAAAAAGTATAACAGCTTAGGACTCCAGCTTGATGTAGTGTTGCAATTCACAGCCTTGTCAGTCTGTTTTATAACACCACTGCTCAAATTTGTGACAAAGTCCCAGCCCCAGAATCCTAGAATGAAGAAATTTGGCAAGGGGCAGCCTCGTTTACATTTTCTTCTTCAGAACATTTTCATTTAGAAGTTTCTTTAATTGGCGTTTCTGGAGTAGACACCCTTGGTTACGAGCAGGGAGGTAAAAATATCAAGGCTAAGTGGGACAGAAGTCAAGTTAGGTCCAAGATTATATTCCCCAACCCCCTGCATGGGCTGGCTTTCCTAAGATGTTCATTAACAGAGGTATAAATCAGGCCCAGCAGGCTGACCAGGCACAGTGATATTTTTCTTTCTTTATCACATACTTCTCATGAGTCAAGAATTGTTTACAGAAATTCACAACTATTAATTCATTAACTTTTTTTTTTTTTTGAGATGGAGTTTTGCTCTTGTTGCCCAGGCTGGCATGCCATGGCATGATCTTGGCTCACTGCAGCTTCTGCCTCCTGGGTTCAAGCAATTCTCCTGCCTCAGCCTCCCGAGTAGCTGGGATTAAAGGCATGCACCACCACACCTGGCTGATTTTGTATTTTTATTAGAGACAGGGTTTCTCGATGTTGGTCAGGCTGATCTTGAACTCCTGACCTTAGGTGATCTGCCTGCCTCAGTCTCCCAAAGTGCTGGGATAACAGGCATGAGCCACCGCGCCCAGCCTAATTCATTAACTCTTATACAACCTTATGACGTGGATACTTTCATTATTCTCAGTTTTCAGAGGTAAAAACTAAGGCACAAAGAGATTAATTTACCCAAGGGCACAGAGATAGTAAATGATGGAGCTTGCACTCCAAAACCAGGCAGGCTCTGGAATTCATACTTTAACCACGACGCTATGTTTATTTGTGGGGTGTCGGGAGTGCTGGTTTTTCACTTCGTTGCAGCATGTCTGATATGGTTTCGCTGTTCCAACCCAAATCTCATCTTAAATTGTAGCTCCAATAATCCCCATGGAGGTGATTGAATCATGGGGGCAGGTTTTTCCATGCTGTTGTTATGATAGTGAATAAGTCTCACAGTAACTTATGGTTTTATAAAAGGGCAGTTCCCCTGCACAGGCCTCTTGCCTGCCACCATGGAGGACATGACTTTGCTCGTCTTTCACCTTCAGCCATGATTGTGAGGCCTCCCCATCCATGTGGACCTGTGAGTCAATCAAACCTCTTTCCTTTAAAAATTACCCAGTCTTGGGTATGTCTTTATTAGCACCATGAGAATAGACTAATACAATGTCATTTATGAAACAGAGGTTATAGGTACAGACAGTGACTATGAATGTGAGTTGGGCATCTTTAGGGCCATCTGGCCTGTAGAATTGGAAAGAGTTCATGTTCCATCTCAAGGGTTAAACTTGATTTTTGCACACTGGCTTATAAGGATTAGACTTCCCCTACCTGGATACTGATAGGTTTATATACCTAAACTTTGCCAAAGGTAAATTCTACTAGGTTTGTGATTTATGATTATAAATCTTAAGGATGTGGGAATTATTACAGTCTTAAGGAGGTGGGAGGGAACAGTGAGCATCAAATATAGAACATATGGCTTCTTTTTAAAACAATTTAAATTGGACTTTTATGTAATTTTTCATTTCTCAAATTCCCTTTTCACACTCAAATTGCAGAGCCAAATTCTACTTTAAACCAGATGATGAGTGGACAGATATTACAGTATAGTCTTTCATTATTTAAAACTGTTGTTAAAGGGGCAAGTGGTATATTCATTCAATACTCATTCAATATTCATTCAAGTGGTCTATTTGTTTTGCTCCTATCAAATAACATATCTGAATTCATTCAGCAATTCAGAGGCGTTGAGGATCTATTACATGCTGGAAAATATGCCCACTGTGTGACCAGTGACTAGCACTTTGTAGGTACTCAACAAAGTGTTGACAAATGAATGGTCCCAGAGCGGAAAAGATAAATATGAGTTGCCCTGCCTTCCCGGGGATCACGGTCTAGTAAGAGTCAGTCATGAAAACCAACTAAAATAAGATGCAATGGATTTGCAGAACAATGTAGATACATAAGCACTATAAATGACTACTTGTAGTAATATTAAAAATAGAAGTCCTTCAGAAAGAGGCAAGTTTTTTACTTTTCTTAATTTTATTAAAACATCTTGAATTGTAAAAGTATTATATGATTTTATAAAAAAAAATGCACAAATGCATGAATAAAAAACGTAATAACCTCCCCTGTTCTCTACCTTTAGTCTCAGCATTCTAAAGTAATAAACATTAACTATGTTTCTATATCGAGTTGATTTCTTCCTAATAATAAAAGGGGTATATACATCACATATCACTTTGGATTTCCGCAAAATATCATGAATTTATCTCAAGACCATTAATATGGATGTAACACTTTTTTAAAAGCTACATAATGTTACATGTATTTAATGTACTGTAATGTATTCAATGATCTATTACAGAGGAACAATCAGATTATAGACTTAATTTTATGCTTATTTTTGTTTTTTTTACCTTTAAAAATCACCATATATCTCTCCTTAGATAAAAGTGCTTTTTGTTTTAATAAGTTTTATTGAGGCATAGTTTATAGTCAATGAAATCCACCCATTTTAAGTGCACAGTTTGATATGTTTTAACAATAACATGTACAAAATATATACGGTCATATAAATACCACCCCAATAAAAATACAGACCACATCCACCACCCCCAAAAGGGTTCCTTGTGTCTCTTTGCACCCTAGCCCTCAGCAACCACTGATCTGTTTTTTTGACTATAGTTTGTGCCATTTCTAAAATTCCAAATAAATAAAAGCATATAGTTCATAGCTTTTGTGTATAGCTTATTACACTTAACTTTTACAAATCACAAACCAGTTGTCTACTAGAAATATTCTATTAATCTGTGGCTTGCCTTTTCATTCTCTTAACAGGTGGCTTTTGAAGAGCAGAAGTTTACACTTTTGAAGAAATACAACTTAGCAACTTTTCTTTTAGGGCTTGTGCCTTTTGTGTCCTACTTTGTTCTATTCCAAGGTTGTCTCTGCGATTCTAAGTCCTTTGCACTTCCATATAATTTTGAAATTAATTTTATAGAAGCACCCCCTGGGAATTGATTGGGATAGCATCAAATCCATAGATATTTGAGGAGAAATTACATCCTAATATACTTCCATATTGTTGATTTCATTTTGTTGACTGGAAGACTCTGTTGATTGGAATTTTGCCATCGGCAGCATCTCTCTCAATTTATTTAGATCATCTTTTTAAATTCTTTTTAGGAAGGTTTTGCAGTTTTCAGTGTACAGGCCAGGAACACTGATATTATTAAATTTATCTGATAATTTTGTTTTTATGCTATTAAAAGTATGTTCAAATTTCAGTTTTTAATTACGTGTTGCTTAGATAAACACAATTGACTTCTGTATACTGACCCTGTATACTGTAACCATGTGACCTCAGTTAATCTTTTTGTAGATTCTTTAAAATTTTTCATTTTCAAACTTATTGTTACATAAGAGAAAAAAATAGCATTACTTTTTCCTCTCCAATCCATATGCATTTTTTTCTTGCTTTATTGTACTGACTAGGACCCCTAGCACCATGTTGAACAGAATTAGTGAGTGTGATATCCTTGCCTTGTACCTGATCTTAGAGGGAAAACATTAAGTCCTTCACTAATAAGTATGATGCTATTTGCTGTTTTTTCATAGATATCTTTCATTAGGTTGAGAAAGTTTCTTAAAATTTCTAATTTGCTGCAGTTTTTAAAGAATTTTGAATGAGTGTTGAATTTTGTCAATACCATTTTCTTCTATTGAAATTAGCACTTTTAATTTTAATTCATTAATTTGGTGAATTTTACTAATTTGTTCCCAAATGTTATACCAACCTAGAATTTTTAGAATAAACCTTAGTTGATCATGATAACTTATTTTAGATATTGTTGGATTTTATTATATTGGTCAGTGCTGTTCTTCTCTCATAATGACTTGGCTCTGTTTTGATATCGTGGTTATACTCACCTCATAAAGTAAATTGGAAAGTTTCCCCACCTCTTCTGTTTTCTGGAACAGCATACAAAATTGCTATTTTTTTTTTCTTCTTTAAATGCTGAGAGAATTCACTAGTGAAGCCATCTGGGCCTGGAGTCGTCTTTGTGGAAAGAATTTAAATGTAAATATAATTTTATAAATAACAATAGGGTTATTCAGGTTAACTATATTTAACCTTAGTAAGGCTTGGCACTTTGTCTTTTTTAAAGAATTTGTCCATCTTATATAAGTTGTCAAATGTATTGACATGAAGATTTTTATAATTTTTATTGTTCTTTAATGTTTATAGAATCTGTAGTGACATCCCTTCCTTCAATGCTTCATGTTAGTAATTTGTGTCTTCTCTGTTTTTTTGTTTTCTGGATTAGTCTAAATAAAGTTTCATCAATTGTATTACTTTTTTCAATAAACCAGCTTTTAGTTTCACTTATCTTCTCTATTGTTTGTCTAATTTTCCTTGATTTCACTCATCTTTATTATTTCTTTTATTATACTTAGTGTTGTTTTTTTTTTAAGTTTCTTCTGGTGAAAGCTTAGATAATTTTTTGAGATCTTTTAAATTTTCTCTAATGTAGGTTTTCATGTTATAAACATCACAAAAATTTTGGTACCTACATCAGTGAAATCTAATATTATGTTTTTGTCTCTATTCACTTCAAAATATCAGCCAAACGTGGTGGCTCACACCTATAATCCTAGCACCTTGGGAGGCTGAGGCGGGCAGATCACTTGAGGTCAGGAGTTCAAGACCAACCTGGCCAACATGGTGAAACCCTGTCTCTACTAAAAACTACAAAAATAAGCTGGGTGTGGTGGCATGCACCTGTAATCCCAGCTACTTAGGAGGCTGAAGCAGGAGAATCGCTTGAGGGAGGGAGGTTGCAGTGAGCCAAGATTATGCCACTGCACTCCAGCTTGAGTGACGGAGCGAGACTCCATCTAAAAAATATATATATATATATATATGTCTTCTAATCTTTCTTGTGATTTTACTTTTGATCAGTTATTTAGAAGTGTGTCAGTTAATTTTTAAATATTTAGTTATATTCTTGATACTTTCTTTTGTTGATTTTGAATTTATGTTGTCATAGAATGTATTATGTGATTTCAATCCTTTTAAATGTATTAAAAGAGCTGTTTTATGGTCGAGAATGTCATCTTCTGCTGTTTTTTTAAAGTTTATAGAATTGATCGCCAAAGTGAGATTGCTATGTCAAAGTGTATGTTTACTTTTTATCTTTAATAAATATTGCCTTACTTTCCATAAAACATAACAATTTACACTGCATATTCTCATATTGTCTTTATTGTAAGACGCTATCAAATAATTTTATTTTTCCCATATATTTAAGGAAAAAAGTGTTTTATTTTTTAACTTTCCCTCTCCCAGGCAACAAGCGAGGTTAAAGGATTCTTCATAAGTATATTGTCCATTTACATTTCTTCTTTTATGCTTTGCTTACTACTATTCTTTGCCCAACACTTTAAGCATATAAATTTTCAAAAACTTTCTCTTTATTTTATATTTTATGTTATTTATTTACGTATTTATTTTTTATACTTTAAGTTCTGGGATACATGTGCAGGACATGCAGGCTTGTTACATAGGTATACATGTGCCATGGTGGTTTGCTGCACCCATCAACCTATCATCTATATTAGGTATTTCTCCTAATGCTATCCCTCCCCTAGCCCCCCACCCCCTGACAGGCCCCCGAGTGTGATAGTCCCCTACCTGTGTCCATGTGTTCTCATTGTTCAACTCCCACTTATGAGTGAGAAAATGCAGTGTTTGATTGTCTGTTCCTGTGTTACTTTGCTGAGAATGATGGTTTCCAGCTTCATCCATGTCCCTGCAAAGGATATGAACTCATCCTTTTTTATGGCTACATTGTATTCCATGGTGGATATGTGCCATATTTTCTTTATCCAGTCTATCACTGATGGACGTTTGGGTTGGTTCCAAGTCTTTGCTATTGTGAACAGTGCTGCAATAAACATACTTGTGCATGTGTCTTTATAGTAGAATGATTTATAATCCTTTAGGTATATACTCAGTAATGGGATTGCTAGGTCAAATGGTACTTCTGGTTCTAGATCCTTGAGGAATTGCCACACTGTCTTCCACAATGGTTGAACTAATGTACACTCGCACCAACAGTGTAACAGCCTCTCCAGCATCTGTTGTTTCCTGGCTTTTTAATGATCACCATTCTAACTGGTGTGAGATGGTATCTTATTGTAGTTTTGATTTGCATTTCTCTAATGACCAGTGATGATGAGCTTTTTTTTCATATGTTTGTTGGCTGCATAAATGTCTTCTTTTGAGGAGTGTCTGTTCGTATCCTTTGCCCAATTTTTGATGGGGTTGTTATTTTCTTATAAATTTTATTAAGTTCCTTGTAGATTCTGGATATTAGCCCTTTGTTAGATGGATAGATTGCAAAAGTTTTCTCCAATTCTGTAGGTTGCCTGTTCTCTCTGATGATAGTTTCTTTTGCTGTGCAGAAGCTCTTTAGTTTAATTAGATCACATTTGTCAATTTTGGCTTATGTTGCCATTGCTTTTGGTGTTTTAGTAATGTAGTCTTTGCCCATGTCTATGTCCTAAATGGTATTGCCTAGGTATTCTTCTAGGGTTTTTGATGGCTGTAGGTCTTACATTTAAGTCTTTAATCCATCTTGAATTAATTTTTGTATAAGGTGTAAGGAAGGGGTCCAGTTTCTGTTTCCAGCATATGGCTAGCCAGTTTTCCCAACACCATTTATTAAATAGGGAATCCTTTCCCCATTGCCTGTTTTTTCTCAGGTTTGTCAAAGATCAGATGATTGTAGATGTGTGGCATTATTTCTGAGGCCTCTGTGCTGTTCCATTGGTCTATATATCTGTTTTGGTACCAGTACCATGCTGTTTTGGTTACTGTAGCCTTGCAGTATAGTTTGAGGTCAGATAGCTTGATGCCTCCAGCTTTGTTCTTTTTGCTTAGAATTGTCTTGGCTATACAAGCTCTTTTTTGGTTCCATATGAAATTTAAAGTAGTTTTTTTTCTAATTCTGTGAAGAAAGTCAATGGTAGCTTGATGGGGATAGCATTGAATCTATAAATTACTTTGGGCAGTATGGCCATTTTCATGATATTGATTCTTCCTGTCCATGAGCAAGGAATATTTTTCCATTTGTTTGTGTCCTCTTTTTCTTTGAGCAGTGGTTTGTAGTTCTCCTTGAAGAGGTCATTCACATCCTTGTAAGCTGTATTCCTAGGTATTTTATCCTCTTTGTAGCAATTGTGAACAGGAGTTCGCTTATGATTTGGCTCTCTGTTTGTCTATTATTGCTGTATAGGAATGCTTGTGATTTTTGCACATTGACTGTATCCTGAGACTTTGCTGAAGTTGCTTATTAGCTTAAGGAGATTTAGGGCTGAGACGATGGGTTTTCTAAGTATACAATCATGTCATCTTCAAACAGAGACAATTTACCTTCCTCTCTTCCTATTTGAATACCTTTTATTTCTTTCTCTTTCCTGATTGCCATGGCCAGAACTTCCAATACTGTGTTGAATAGGAGTGGTGAGAGAGGGCATCCTTGTCTTGTGCCGGTTTTCAAAGGGAATGCTTCCAGCTTTTGATCATTCAGTATAATATTGGCTGTGGATTTCTCATAAATAGTTCTCATTATTTTGAGATACGTTCCATCAATACCTAGTTCATTGAGAGTTTTTAGCATGAAGGGGTGTTGAATTTTATCAAAGGCCTTTTCTGCATCTATTTAGATAATCATGTGGTTTTTGTCATTGGTTCTGTTTATGAGATGGATTACATTTATTGATTTGCATATGTTGAACCAGACTTGCATCACAGGGATGAAGCTGACTTGATTGCGTTGGATAAGCTTTTCGATGTGCTGTTGGATTCTGTTTGCCAATATTTTATTGAGGATTTTTGCATCGATGTTCATCAGGGATATTGGCCTGAAATGTTCTATTTTTGTTGTGTCTCTGAAAGGTTTTGGTATCAGGATGACGCTGACCTCATCAAATGAGTTAGGAAGGAGTCCTTCGTTTACTATGCTTTGGAATAGTTTCAAAAGGAATGGTACCAGCTCCTCTTTGTACCTCTGGTAGAATTCAGCTGTGAATCCATCTGGTCCTGAGCTTTTTTTGATTGGTAGGCTACTAATTACTCCCTCAATTTCAAAACTTGTTAGTGGCCTATTCAGGGATTCAACTTCTTCCTGGTTTAGTCTTGGGAGAGTGCATGTCTCCAGGAATTTATCAATTTCTTCTAGATTTTCTAGTTTATTTGCATAGAGGTGTTTACAGTATTCTCTGATGGTAGTTTGTATTTCTGTGGCATCAGTGGTGATATCCCCTTTATCATTGTTTACTGTGTCTATTTGATTCTTCTGTCTTTTCTTCTTTATTACTTTGTTAGTCTGGCTAGTGGTCTATTTTGTTAATCTTAAAAAAGAAACAGTGCCTGGATTCATTGATTTTTTGAAGGGTGTTTTCTGTCTCTATCTCCTTCAGTTCTGCTCTGATCTTAGTTATTTCTTGTCTTCTGCTAGCTTTTGAATTTGTTTGCTCTTGCTTCTCTAGTTCTTTTCATTGTAATGTTATGGTGTCAATTTTAGATCTTTCCCACTTTCTTCTGTGGGTATTTAGTGGTATAAATTTCCCTCTAAACACTGCTTTAGCTGTGTCTCAGAGATTCTGGTACGTTGAGTCTTTGTTCTCATTGGTTTCAAATAACTTATTTATTTCTGCCTTAATTTCGTTATTTACCCAGTAGTCATTCAGGAGCTGGTTGTTCAGTTTCCATACAGTTGTATGGTTTTGAGTGAGTTTCTTAATCCTCAGTTCTAATTTGATTGCACTGTAGTCTGACAGATTGTTTGTTATGATTTCCATTCTTTTACATTTGCTGAGGAATGTTTTACTTCCAATTATGTGATCAATTTTAGAATAAGTTTGATGTGGTACTGAGAAGAATGTATATTCTGTTGATTTGGGATGGAGAGTTCTGTAGATGTCTATTAGGTTCACTTGGTCCAGAGCTGGATTCAAGTCCTGAATATACTTGTTAATTTTCTGTCTTGTTGATCTGTCTAATATTGACAGTAGGGTGCTAAAGTCTCCCACTATTATTGTTTGGGAATCTAAGTCTCTTTGTAGGTCTCTAAGAACTTGCTTAGTTAATCTGGGTGCTCCTGTATTGGGTGCATATATATTTAGGATAGTTAGCTTTTCTTGTTGCATTGATCCTTTTACCATTATGTACTGCCATTGTCTTTTTTGATCTATGTTGGTTTAAAGTCTGTTTTGTCAGAGACTAGGATTGCAACCCCTGCTTTTTCCTGCTTTCCATTTGCTTGGTAAATATTCCTGCATCCCTTTATTTTGAGCCTATGTGTGTCTTTGCAAATGAGATGGATCTCCTGAATAAAGCACACTGATGGGTCTTGACTCTTTATCCAATCTGCCAGTCTGTGTCTTTTAACTGGGGCATTTAGTCCACTTACATTTAAGGTTAATATTGTTATGTGTGAATTGGATCCTGTCATTATGATGCTAGCTGGTTACTTTCCCCGTTAGTTGATGCAGTTTCTTCATAGTGTTGATGGTCTTTACAATTTGGTATGTTTTTGCAGTGGCTGGTACCGGTTTTTCTTTTCCATATTTAGTGCTTCCTTCAGGAGCTCTTGTAAGGCAGTCCTGGTGGTGACAAAATCTCTCAGCATTTGCTTATCTGTAAGGGTTTTATTTCTTCTTCGCTTATGAAGCTTAGTTTGGCTGGATATGAAATTCTGGGTTGAAAATTCTTTTCTTTACAGATGTTGAATATTGGCTCCCACTCTCCTCTGGCTTGCAGGTTTCTGCCAAGAGATCCACTGTTAGTCTGATGGGCATCCCTTTGTTGGTAACTTGGCCTTTCTCTCTGGCTGTCCTTAACATGTTTGCCTTCATTTCAACCTTGGTAAACCTGATGATTATGTGTCTTGGGGTTGCTCTTCTCAAGGAGTATCTTTGTGGTGTTCTCTGTATTTCCTGAATTTGAATGCTGGCCTGTCTTGCTAGGTTGGAGAAGTTCTCCTGGATAATACCCTGAAGAGTGTTTTCCAACTTGGTTCCATTCTCCCTGTCACTTTCAGGTACATGAATCAAACATAGGTTTGGTCTTTTCACATAGTCCCATATTTCCTGGAGGCTATGTTCATTTATTTTCATTCTTTTTTCTCTAATCTTGTCTTCATGCTTTATTTCATTAAGTTGATCTTGAATCTCTGATATCCTTTCTTTTGCTTGATCAATTTGGCTACTGATACTTGTGTATGCTTCACGAAGTTCTCGTGCTGTGTTTTGCAGCTCCATCAGGTCATTTATGTTCTTCTCTAAACTGGTTATTCTAGTTAGCAATTCCTCTAACCTTTTTTCAAGGTTCTTAGCTTCTTTGCATTGGGTTAGAACATGCTCCTTTAGCTCGGACGCATTTGTTATTATCCACCTTCTGAAGCCTACTTCTGTCAATTTATCAAACTCATTCTCCATCCAGTTTTGTTCCCTTGCTGGTGAGGAGTTGTGATCCTTTGGAGGAGAAGAGGTGTTCTGGTTTTTGGAATTTTCAAACTTTTTGTGCTGCTTTTTTTTTTTTTTCCTGCATCTTCATGGATTTATCTACCTTTGATCTTTGATGTTGGTGACCTTCAGATGGGGTTTCTGTGTGGACGTCCTTTTTGTTGATCTTGATCCTATTCCTTTCTGTTTGTTAGTTTTCCTCCTAACTGTCAGGGCCCTCTGCTGAAGGTCTGCTGGAGTTTGCTGGAGGTACACTCCCGACCCTGTTTGCCTGGGTATCATCAGCGAAGGCTGCAAAAGAGCAAAGATTGCTGCCTGTTCCTTCCTCTGAAAGCTTCATCCCAGAGTGGCACCTGCCAGATGCCAGCTGGAGCTCTCCTGTATGTGGTGTCTGTTGACCCCTGCTTGGAGGTGTCTCCCAGTCAAAAGGCACGGGGGTCAGGAACCCACTTGATGAGGCAGTCTGTCCCTTAGCAGAGCTTGAGCACTCTCCTGGGAGATCTGCTGCTCTCTTCATAGCCAGCAGGCAGGAAAGTTTAAGTCTGCTGAAGCTGGGCCCACAGCCGCCCCTTCCTCCAGGTGCTCTGTCCCAGGAGATGGGAGTTTTATCTATAAGCCCCTGACTGGGGCGTCTGCCTTTCTTTCAGAGATGCCCTGCCAAGAGAGGAAGAATCTAGAAAGGCAGTCTGGCTACAGGGGCTTTGTGAAGCTGCAGTGGGCTCCACCCTGTTCGAACTTCCCAGTGGCTTTGTTTACACTGTGAGGGGAAAACGGCCTACTCAAGCCTCAGTAATGGCAGACGCCCCTCCCCCTACCAAGCTCCAGTGTCCCAGGTCGACTTCAGACTGCTGTGCTGGCAGCAAGAATTTCAAGCCAGTGGATCTTAGCTTGCTGGGCTCCATGGGGGTGGGATCTCCTGAGCTAGACCACTTGGTTCCCTTGTTTCAGCCCCCTTTCCAGGGGAGTGAATGGTTCTGTCTCGCTGGCGTTGCAGGCACCACTGGGGTATTTAAAAAACTGCAGCTAGCTTGGTGTCTGCCCCAACAGCTGCCCAGTTTTGGGCTTGAAACCCAGGGCCCTGGTGGTGTAGGCACCCGAGGGAATCTCCAGTTCTACGGGTTGTGAAGACTGTGGAAAAAGCACAGTATCTGGGCTGGAATGTGCCGTTCCTCACAGCACAGTCCACCAGGCTACCCTTGGCTAGGGGAGGGAGTTCCTGGATCCCTTCCACTTCCCTGGTGAGGTGACACTCCACCCTGCTTCTGCTTGCCCTCCATGGGCCGCACCCATTGTCTAACCAGTCCCAGTGAGATGACCTGTGTACCTCAGATGAAAATGCAGAAATCACCTGCCTTCTCTGTTGATCTTGCTGGGAGCTGCAGACCGGAGTTGTTCCTATTCGGCCATCTTGCCAGCCCATCGAAGTTTCTCATTTTAAAACGTGAATTTGATACTATTGGTGATGGAAATGACATATTTTTGTCCTTAATATTTATTACGTCTATTAAAGAAAATGCAATGTGTCTATAATGGGTTAAGTAATTTATATAAAATTTTCTCTAATACTCAAAACAACCCCCAAAGGAATATATTTATTTAAATATATATATTTGACTATATATTGATTACATGTATATATACCCATTATATATATGTACATATATACACACATATATACATATTGATCGTGTAGCTATATATATATATATATATACACACACACACACATACATACACACACCCCATCAATGTGTGCCTGAAACTAGTATTCAAGCTTTCAAATTACAGATGAGGAAACTGAATGAATTGATGTTACTTGCTGAGGTTTACTCAGGAAGTGAATTGAAGAGCTGGACTTGAACCTAGGACTTTCTGCCTCCAAAACCCATGTCCTTATCAGCCTTCCCTTGAATAAAGAAAAAGTTCAAAGTCTCAATGACTTTTTATGTTTCTACTCTAATTTTATGCAAAAAGAAAATAATGAGCCGTTGTCATGATCAGAGGTTTTAGGTGGTCTTAGTTAAGCAGCTTTCCCAAAGCGACTTATCCCCTTCCATTTACTTCACATCGAAGAGGAATCTTCAACACATCTCAAGCAGTTTATTCTGGCAGCACTCTAACCAGAGGATAGCAGATGCAGGCCAGTATCATGGGCCTCATACAGTCAGGGGGCAGATGACTGACAGACAAGTAGGGTCTTCATCCAGAGACCATTCTCAGAGTTTGGGGGGATCCTTCTTCCTCTCTTATACCTGTATGCAATTCAGGTCAGTTACCAGATGTTTCTTTCATAAAGGGAGATTAAGTTATTCTTGTAAGGGTAAACTTTGTTCTAAGGATTGTGAAAGTTGCATCTGTGCCAAGGTGACCTTGTCTCTGGGAAATCCCTGGGCCAGGGTTGGAAATCCCTAGGCCAGGTTGTATCATACTTCTAAGTGACATATAGTGTTGACCCTGTGAGTTGCTTGAATGGGCCTTATGACTATCATTGATCTTATAGTCATGATATATATCTTACAGTAAACCACAGCCATTCATATATAAATTTTAAATTTATTTTACTATAGGAGTCATGAAATTTTATAGCGAATTAGAAAAGGTCATGGAACCTCAACATTCAGAGCCAAATTCTATTCTCCAATCATTGGCCAAAGATCATTCCTAGTCTGTATTATATATAGGATACACTTTCTTCCTCTGTGAACTCGAAATCCTATTAATAACCATGCCAATTCCTTTCCCTCTCCCAGTAGCTACAGCTTCAATAGAAAAATTCCAGACAGTTGTCTGCACAAGTTCAAGGTCCAAGAGCCTGGGATGATTCATGAAGCATTCAATCACAGTTTCCACAACAGGCCATTATCTGTGTTCCTTTCAATGAGCCACAGGAATAAGAATTGAGGAATCTCATTTGGAAGAATGGCATTAAATAACCCTTCAAAACATTTTGTATGCAATCACCATTATCCTAAATTCTAGAAACATAGAATAAGTAAAAAAGATGCTTTTCTCATTATCTCTATAGAGGCCATTTGTGCTGTATGATCATTTCATAAGAGTACACATTGCAAATGCATTTAACTACTGCTATCGCTCCTCCATTTTGTGACGGCAGCTGAACTCTGCTCATACTGACATCCTTCAGGTGCTTACAGCCTCTCTAGTTGTTTGGACCTGTCCATACAATTTATTGTAGAGTTTTATCTCTGCCCTCGAGTTACTGCTACCAGTGAGAATAGCTGAAAATTTTGGCTCAAAAACATGGCAACAACATCATCCTTGACTCTGAAGAGCAAACAAAAATAACAGGGATTGGCCAGTCTATTGAATGACAGAAATCTGACTGTGAATGTTTCTTTTCTTTTTCTTCTTCTTCTTTTTTTTCTTTGAGATGAGGTTTCTGCTCTGTCTGTCACCCAGGCTGGAGTGCAGTGGCGTGATGATGGCTCACTGCAGCCTCCGCCTCCCAGGTTTAAGCAATACTCCCACCTCAGCCTCTGAAGTACCTAGAACTACAGGCACATGTCACCATGCCTGGCTAATGTTTTTTCATTTCTTACAGAGATGGGGTTTCACTGTGTTGCCCAGACTGGTCTCAAACTCCTGGCCCCAAGTGATCCGCCCACCTTGGCTTCCCCAAAAGTGCTGGAATTATAGGCATGAGCCACCATGCCTGGTCTCTGAAAGCTTCTTAACTGTAAATCCATGACAGGCATTTGCCTCTAGGACACAGCAGAAAACAAAACAGAAAAACCATCTTTACCCTCATGGAGCTTATATTCTAGAGGTCACTAAATGTGTTCATTAAAAAACAAAAAAAGTTCCCCAGCTCTGACACTTACAAGCTATAATTGCTTGTAAGTTACCTAAGCTTTAAATTACATAAAGTCTCATCTTCCTCCTCTGGGGTATAATTATACCTAGAGTGGTTATAAAAATAAAAATAGGTAATATAGTAAGCCCTTGAGATAACTGCGATTTATTATTATTATCATTATTATTACATTGCTGTTTACACCTATTTTCAATAACCTTATGCACATTAGTTTAAAAAGTACATTTTCTATACTCTCAACCTAATCAGTCAGATGTCCAGTGTGATTCTCTCTTGTAGTTTCTATATTATATCCACAAAATTCTAACTGCATTCCTTCATATTGTCTATGCTCAATCACACTGTGTTTTTAAAATTTTAAGTCCCAATTCACTTAAAATGGATCAGGGATGTCCTCTCAATCCAATTTGTGTAGCCGAGAGTTAATTTCCCTCTGCAAATTGGGTGCCACCAGAGAAAAATATTGATATGTGGGTGACTCATGGAGATGGAAACAGTCACAAGGATCAACAGGGTTAGGGAAGCTCTTGCAGACAGAGAGTTGCATGCATTGCAAAGCAGGATACTAACGAACGAATTGGCTCAGAAACATTGACTCTGTCACTTCTACTGTTTGAGGGAGATAAACGGAAAAGAGAAGCCAATAGAAAAAATGCTTGTTTAAAACACTATGCAGGTTGGTGGTGGGGGTGGGGGAGGCAGTAGGGAAGCAAGACATGTGGCCCTTGTTGCTTCTTTTTTCTTTCTTTGAGACAGTCTCGCTCTGTCGCCCAGGCTGGAGTGCAGTGGCGCAATCTCGGCTCCCTGTAAGCTCTGCCTCCTGGGTTCATGCCAGTCTCCTGCCTCAGCCTCCCGAGTAGCTGGGACTACAGGTGCCCACCACCACGCCTGGCTAATTTTTTTGTATTTTTAGTAGAGAGGGGCTTTCACCATGTTAGCGAGAATGGTCTCGATCTCCTGACCTCGTGATCCACCCCCTCTTGGTCTCCCAAAGTGCTGGGATTACAGGCGTGAGCCACCGCGCCTGGCCTGTTGCTTCTAAATTACTGTGAAAATAAATCTCTATTGCATGGTTATTTTTGAGTGAGAAGCCTATAAGAATAATACTTAAAAAATTTTTTTTCTTCCAAAAGTGGAGAAAGGAAGACCTACCTGCCAGGGTTAGTAGGAAGAAAATTGGAAAATTTATGTAGGACACTCAACATGATGGCTAGGAGGTAGTAGGTTACTAATCGAAGATGTTCCTGTACTTCCCCTACCTTGAAATCATTGAGTATGATCCTCATGATGTAAAAAAATAATCAAATAAAAGTAAAAATAGGCTATCTTTAAAATAAACTAACATTGGGGGAAAAGAAGGTGAATGAACACAGAAACAAAATTAATCTCTGGGTGGTGGGATTATAGGTATATTTAGTTCATCCTTCAATTTGAGAAGGAACATAAGGTAGTGGTTTGACTCATGGCTTTTCTTGGAATTGAATCTTGGTTCTGAAACCAACTGTGTGACTTTGGACAAGTTCTACAACCTCTCTGTAATTGAAGATGGTAATAATACTTATTTGCTTACTAGGAAATTAGTTTACATGTGAGAGGCACATATTAAGCACTATATAAGTGTTTCCAAATCTGTAATAATGGACTGTGCACTCTTATAATGGGAAGGAATAAACCTTCTTTGATAAAATTTAAAAAGTATTACCCTGAATTTGGTAAGTTTTTCCTATGCCAGACCCTGTTCTAAGCATTTTATATGGGCCAACTAACTCTCATAACAATCCTGGCAGACAGGTACTATTATCATCAGAGGTGGAAACACTCAGAGGGCAGCTGTCATCCATGTAGTTTCTGCAGCCTCACTGCGACACAGGGGTGCAATTCTGCTCATCCCTAGGAGACTCCCCTACTTTGCCAGGCTCTACAGAGAGCATACCTTGACTCTCATTTGCCCAGAGCCTGAGCTGCTCAAGCGGAATGCGGATAAAGTGGACTGGCTTCGTCTTCTTGTCCTTTAGTCTTCTGGCAACTCCTTAGGGACCCAGTATACATACTCCTTTTACACATCCTCTTATCAAAACTAACTCTCATTTCAGGTTTTTTATGTAGGGAAAGGGAACGGGTTGATGGTCAAAAGACTTGGTTTGAGTTCTTTATCTTAAATGCTATGTAACTTTAAATAAGTTACTTGATTACAGTCTTAAATTCATATATAAAATTCAGTCCATTGAGAGTTTCTGAGAATTTTTTTCAGAGACAGGAAGAGAGAGAGGGAGACCGTTATCCATTAAGATGCCAAATGCTTGTTTGTGAAAACTTAAAAGAGGATGATGGTTAAAACGCCAACATCTGCTATAGACTTTTGTGCTAGACTTGAAGTGACAAAGATCACTGTGAACTAACCACCTCTCCCCAACTTCCCCACCCCTCCCCATGGTGCTATTATAGAGCAATATAGGAAAACATACTTCTGAGGGTCACAAGCGATTCTGAAATTCAAGGTTAGATTGTTTGTCCTGTTTGATTTCCTATAGTTGCATGGTGCAATGATTTTCATTAGGCATCGTCTCCAGTGATTTAAAACTCAATAAAAGCCCGCAGTTGAAATTTTCAATGTCTTCTGCATATTTGCTGCTACTAAGGAGTAAGAGGAGAGAAAGGGAAGATACCTACAAGGTGATGTTTGTTTGCTTTCACTTATTTTTATTATCCAGAATAATCCCAATTTGAGTCTTCAGCCAGAGTACTATCAAATGCTATTAAAAATGCTCACAACATTTCTTCTCTGCTTTTTCAGAAATAGCCAATTTTGACACTACTTAGAGCAATATTAGTGTTTTCAGAAAAAAATGCTTCTACATAGCATACATACAATTTGGTCTACCACTTTAAAAATTACTCTAACTTATAGTTTAGGACCTGGTAAATTTATGGCATAAATTTTTTTAAAGAAAATGAATAAGAAGGCTCAGGAAAAACTCCAAATTTATTTTCACCCTAAGCGTTTTAAGCCTAAGAAAAAAAAAGGAATGCATTTGTTATTTCAACATTTTACAGACTTATTTGCCTTGCAGGTTGCTAGTAGTTATGTGCGTGAAGAAACCATTTATCATCCATTTCTTTTCCATAAGATCTTTTATGAAGGCGACATTTCTAATTTTCTGGTTCAAAACATTAGCGTCAATTTGTGTAACTGTTTCCAGGGTCACCAGGTAAATATCCACTCAGTATAACAAACAACAACAACAACAACAAAAAACTACTGTCTTTTGTTGAACAATTCACCAGACATTCTCCTGGATGAGTTGCATCTATTATTTACAAATTCACAATGACCCTGCAATGCAGATATTGTTATCCCCACTTTACAGATAAGAAAATTGAGGATTCGAGCATCTACAGATTCTTGATTGAGATCACATAGCTAGCAAGTTTCAGAGTCTGAATTACAAAAGCAGGTTGATGTTCTTTCCAATTAATCAAAGATTACCAAGCCATTTTATTAGGTTGGTGCAAAAGCAATTGTGGTTTTTGCCATTTGAAGTAATGGCAATTACTTTTGCACCAACCTAATAAAAAAAAAGAGAGAGCTGTGCAGAAAAATATGATTGATATAGAAGTTCACAACACAAATTTGGTACTGCCTCCAGGTTTCTATAGTTAGAGATAGTTAGCAAAATATATCAAAAATAATTTGGGCTTTGGAATTTAGTGGACCTGGATTCAAAATGAGCTCCACCACTTGGCAAGCACATGGCTTTGGAGAAGTTTCTTAATAGCTACAACACTACCTTATAAAATTGGCAAGATTAAATTGGGTAAATTTCATAAGTATACGGAGCTTATTACCTATACCTGGTCTGAACTTAAGAAGTGGTGTATTTCTTTAATCTACTATTTTTTTTAAAAAACAGAACATACATTTTAAATTGCCTAAAAAATAGTCAAAAGTAGTTGTCTCATGACTTAATGCCACAGTTATTATATTTATTTTGTCTTGTCACCTATCAGCATGGACATAAACCACCTTCTTATAGAGAATTTGAAGCATTTTTAAGAGGAGCTGCCTTCCCTGATGCATGTATGAGAATGAACAATTCTTTTTTTACCCCCAGGAAAATAAAGACTACTTTCCTTCTTTAGATGCACAGGTGTCTGGTAGGTGAAGACAGATTGAATGTGGGTCTGACAAAGTTTGCCATGGGGTCTAATAGGAAATGAAATGGAACTGGAACTCAACATGATTTATCACAGTAATTTTTATAAATACCAAAATGAAAAACTTTGTAGATGTTAGAATAAAAAGGTGAATTGACTGTCTCATTAAAGATCAGTCAGTACTTTTCACAGGTCGGTTGAACTGAACCAAAAGGAAATTAAAAGGAATTGAAATACTGATGTCTGTTAGCTACTAGGTGAAGTCTGGCCAACACCCATAAATGTCATGGGGTTAGACCGAAGCTGCTTTAAATGGTGGACAAATTTGCTTTTTTCCTAAAAGATCGTGGAGAACTGTGTTTACTGGGTCCAGGAAGAAGGGGTAGTTGACTTAACACAAAGTGTTCTTGAACAAGGCTTTCAAGAGAGAGAAAGATTGGTGGGGCAGAAGGGATACACAGGCAAGCCCGGCTAATTTTTGCATTTTTAGTAGAGACGAGGTTTCACCGTGTTAGCCAGGATGGTCTCAATCTCCTGACCTCGTGATCCAGCTGCCTGGGCCTCCCAAAGTGCTGGGATTACAGGTATGAGCCACCAGGCCCGGCCCAGTGTGAGACCAAAGTGTTGTCTGCAGGGAGGGCTTTCCAGGCATGCCACTGGTCTCACCCAGGGGAAAAGCCCATGGAAAACCTGTCCTCTGCAGAATTCTCCTTTTTTTTTTTTCTCCTGACTATACTTTCTGGACAAATTGCAATATTCCATACGATGGAATTTTTAATCTCTGTTCCACAACTTTTGTCATAATTACATTTTGTAATGGCATCGTTCTCATGTGTATTCCACTGGAGTAGATTTTTGCTCATGGTTACCTTTAAGAAACTCAATACCAGTAGGAAGTGAAATTTATCTGTGTTCTACCCAGGCATTTGTATATACAGGGTCTATGAAGCTGCATAAAGACAGGGGTCCTCACGCCAACTGCTCTTTCAGAATAATAGTGACATGTAACCCTTCCAAATGTCTTACAGTTTACAGAGGACTTTTCATATAAGCAAAAAAGAGGGAGAATTATATACAATGTATAGGGCTCTATGCTAAATGTTTCATTCAGCCCTCACCATTACAAAAATCACCATCTACATTTTTCAGTTAAGAAAAACCAAAGTTTTTAGACAGGTTCAACGGCCTGTTCAAACCACACTGTTAATAAATGCTAAATTCTGGGCAAAACCTCATTTCTTTTAAGTCTAACCTCAGACTACTAGAGAAAGATAAAATTAGAAAGGTAAATTGGGGTGGGAATATATAGGACATTGGCATCCGGCTAAGGAATTTACACCTTAAAATTTATTTTGTATGTGATAGAAAATAATTCAAGACTATGACCAAGGAAATTGGGTGTCTTTTTTTTCTTCATTCTATTCATCCCTATCTACATTTTCTCTATGAACCAGCCATTTCATTCATTTATACTCTTCCAATTCTACTAACTCTATTTTGTGAGTCAGCAAACAGGCTCAGGGAGGTAAGGAAGGTTGGCCATGTCTAGAGCCAGGCACAGATAAGATTAGAACTCAGATCTCACTGACCTCATTCAAATGCAGTGGATAGCTCCACATATCCATGTACATAAATATGTTATGTCAATAAGTATTTGAATATATAAGGTCATATAAAATTTCAGCTGATTATAAATTCTACTGCGAAAAGAGAAATTTCTAAATTTTATACATTTCATGGGGAGAATATCCTAAATGCAACCACAGCCTATATAATACAAGGAAAACAGTAAAAACTGAGGAACACAAAAAATTGCTGCAATAACCAAGCCGAAGTCATGGGATGTTAAAGGTTATTGAACTTCTTCACAAATGTCTTGAAAGGAGTGACCCTGTATTGATGCTGACTAGTCATCATTTTTCTCAGCTAATATCATTGTTGCACAGAATACCATAAAGTTTAGGAACAAAGAAAATAATTCTAGAATCCTCTACAGGAAGAAAAAAGTACATTTCAAGAAGAAGTGAATTTTTTCCCACTTGTTTTTGCTTTATCATGGCACATTAATTTGATGAAAATTTCCCTTGTGGATATGAGGAATTGTTTTGACCCTACGTACTTGTATGTTTATTTTGATGATTCTAAATTTGGCAAAGCATTATTGTCACCATTGATCCTAGGGAATGATTCACCTGTTAGTGAGTCAATAGCTGCATGGGTTTATGATATCATAAGGAATATTGGCTGTCAAGTTTATTTACAGTAATTGATGATTTTTTTTAATTGTTCTGTGTTCCTGTTCCTAAAATAACTATGCAGTAAGGATCACTTCAGTGGATGAAAAAAAGGGCTGTCAAAGGGGAAAGGGCTTCAGGTTGTGTATAGTTGAGGAGAAACAGAAACAGGGCATGCCTAAAGAGCCCTTAGAATTGGTCTAGTGCTGGCAAAAGCCTAAGCATCCCTCAGGAGCCAAATGAACTGTCATCTCCTATGAGAAATGTCCCTTGCTTTTCCTGCATGAAGTGGTTCTCTCCTTCCTCTGCATCTCTATCCTTACTTGCCCTTTACTGTCTTTTACAACAGATGACCCTCTTCCTCCTACAACAGCGTCTGAGACATAGTATGTATTCAAAAAGTATGTCAGATTACTGAGTTGGTTTATGAGACTGTTTCTACTGTTATACTGTGAACTGCTTACATATAAGAACCGTGTGTTTTTATTGACTTTGCATCCCCAGAGCCTGGCTTTGTTCCTGAACTTTCATTCTGCTCAGCAGAAATTTGTTGAGACCTGGTATGGGCAATGGTAAAAGTTTGGCGCCATCAGCAAGTGTTCAAATCCTGGCAATGCTACTGACTAGCCCTGTAACTTTGGGCAAATTACCGACCTCCTGATGCCTCAGTTTCCTCATATAAGAGAACTTATAAGGGATAATGGAGAACTTATAAGGTAGCAATGAGGGTTAAATGAGTTTCTACATGAAAAGTGCTTAAAACAGAGTAATATCAAGAATATTAGTGATGTCAATTACCTCTAGCTGTTGTAACAAACAATCCTCAATTTCAGTGGCTGAACAAAATGAATGTTATTTCTCCATTGAAAATGGTTCTTGCCAGATGGCTGTTCTCCAGGTAGTCACTTAAGGACCTAGTTCTTTCTATCTTGTAATGCCATCATCTTTAATGTATGATATCCAAGATTCCATGGATGAGGAAAAGAGAGAAAAATTACATCTGGAAGATTTTCTTAGAGGCCAGGCTGGGTAATGGCAAGTGTCACTTACCCTCCGAACACATCATAGAACCCCACCTAGAAAAAAGAGGACTGGCACACATATTACGTGTGCTGACATAACATGAGCCAAACTGGTGAATGCATAGCATTCTGTCTGCACTATTAAGGGTTAAACAGATGTTAGCTTTATATATAGGATCAAAAGCTCTACAAACATAAATAGGTATAGTTAGCTGCATAGTTTAGTTTCAATTGCTTAAGTACTACTGTTTTAATTTTAAATTAAATCATTTTCTGCACATCTTTCTGTGTAATTCTGGCACCAGTCCACTGTTCTTGATGCTACCAACCCATCTGGACCTTTAAATGAGGAATCACAAAGGCCTCCAAAGGTAAGGCAGGTGACATAAATGAGCCAATGCAGTGGGGATGGGTGGGGACTGCAGGGTCCTGGGAAGCAGCCCCTGCCCTGCAAAAAGAGCAGCTGCTCATCCAGATGCCATGATGGTCATCAGCAGGAACACCATTCTAAACTTACTTGAGTCCTGAAATGTATCAAGAAAAGCCAGAAGTCAGGATTCTTACGGGAAGTCTCCCAAATTTAAAATGTTGACAACTATTTCCAGTGTTTTAAAAAACACTGATTGGGTAAAATATTTGTTTGCCAAAGAAAACAAAGTCTTTTCAAAGAAATGTTAAAGTAACATATTGGACATTTTATCTTAAAATAACCTGTGAAGGTAATATGTTGATGACAGATAAGACAGTAATAAGACAATGCTTGAGAAAACAGTGTGAAAGCAAGACCATGACATGCATAAAGAAGGTAGTCAAAGGGTGGAACCTTGTTTTATGAGTTGCCTCCTTCACCAGACAGAGAGAGTATGGGCTTATTCTGTCACCAAGCCCTGTGTGTGTTCTCCCAAATAAAGGACATGGCCCCTATTCCTTGATGGTGGTGAAGCGCATCAATTCTGGAACCAGTCTAACTAGGCTTAAAGACCAATGCTATAACGTAACCAGCTGTTATCCCAGTCTTCCTGTTTGTAAACTGAGGCTTTAAGTAGTATCCATCTCAAAGGATTGCTGAGTGATTGCAATGAGCTAATACATGTGAAATATTTGGAGCATGGCTCATGTGTAGTAAGTTTTCAGTAAATGTTAGCCATTACCTTATTATTACCTCTGACTTGCAAGCTGAATTTGACCTGTGAGCCTCCAGGTTGCAGTTTAAACCTTGGCAACTGAAACTCAACTCAGAAAGCACTTAGCATCCAATAAAACCAAGCTTAGATAATAGACCCTGCTTCTTGGGAATGCCTGGCTTCTCTCTCTTTGCTTTGTCCTGCCCTCATTCTTTGCTCCCTCAATTCTGCTTCTACCTGGCTCTCAACTGCTGTGGCAACATCTCTCCAATTTTCTTTTTCTTTTCTTCGTATTTTTTTTTGTTTTTTTTGTTTGTTTGTTTGTTTTTAAGAGAGGATCTGGCTCTGTCACCTATGCTGGAGTGCAGTGGCATGATCTTGGCTCACTGCAACCTCTGTCTCCTGGACTCAAGCAATCCTCCCATCTCAGCCTCCTGAATAGCTGGCACTACAAGCACACACCCACCATGCCCAGCTAATTTTTTTATTTTTATTTTTATTTTTAAGATAGAGTCTTGCTCTTGTTACCCAGACTGGAGTGCAATGGCGCAATCTCGGCTCACTGCTGCCTCCACCTCCCAGGTTCCAGCAACTCTCCTGTCTCAGTCTCCCAAGTAGCTGAAATTACAGGCACCAGCCACCATGCCCAGCTAATTTTTGTATTTTTAATAGAGACAGGGTTTCACCATGTTGGCCAGGCTGGTCTCGAACTCCTCACCTCAGTTGATCCACCTGCCTTGGCCTCCCAAAGTGCTGGGATTACAGGCGTGAGCTACATACAGGGTCTCACATATTGCCCAGGCTGGTCTCCAACCTCTGGGCCCAAGCCATCCACCTTCCTCAGCCTCCAAAAGTGCTGGGATTGTAGGCATGAGCCACCATGCCCAGCCGACATCTCCAATTTTCAACTTTGTTCTTGCTTTTTGCATAAACAGCATTATTTTTCTTGGTTTGAACTCAATTTCCCCTAGATAAGGCTTACTGCTTATCCTGACCTCTCACTCCACTAACCATTAGCACTAATCACTGGCCTGGCGAAGCTGAAACTCCCAAAAGAAATAAGCCTTAGAAACCTTAGGCAATTCAACCAAACTGACACAGCCAATAAGGAAAGGAGCTAGGGTCTGAACCAGGTCCTAAGACTGCAGCCAGGGATCTCAAACTTTCAGCCATACTACAGTAAATCTTTATTTTGCTGAAACAGAAATCTGAGTCTCAGGTGATTTGGAAGGTAGCTTCCGAGAACAAACCACTTAGCTTGAAAGTCAGACTAACCAAGGAGTCATATCTCAATGGGCATTTGCTGTTCCTGGCTCATTATTGAGGTGTGCAGAATTCCCATGAGGTCATAAAGCTTTGTTTCCTTATGAGAAATGACCATACAATGAGAGATTAAATTTTAGTGAAAGTTAAAAATGCAGTTAGCTATGAGCCACAGAGCTACTTTAGGAAGTTGGTGAATCAAAACAGAATTAAGAAAGCATTCATAAAGATCTGGACATTTCTATAAATGAAACCAAGAGTCTACATACAGAGTCACAGAATGATGGCCCACAAGCTACACCTGGTGATTTGGGGGAAAGGAGGAGAAAATTGTTAAAAAGAGTCTGAATGCTGTTCAATGGAACATGGACTCTCCAATATGTGTCAGTTACCAGCACTCATTGAAACTTTCACTCACTAACCTATTATATGGGATAAATGAGTGCAATGAATTAAGTTTCTATATATATTCTTTTGTATTCCCTCTATAGAGACCTGCTAATTTAGCTCCCTTATTACTTAAACAACACATAATAGCCAGTTGAAATAATTTAACAAAATGCCTGTTTTTAATGAATCTATTAACTGATTCAAAGGTATGGCCCTGAAAGAATGTTATCTGAGGATCAGTGAACCACCTAGTCAGTTCAGGTTTAGTCTTATCTCATGAGATGTACCCAGCGTATGCCAGACACCCTGCTAAGAACTCCTCCATACATTTAAATTACACTACACTAAACCCCAGTGCATTTTAGTAGTATTATTTCCATTTTACGGTCTGGGAAACTTTGGTTTAAAGAGGATTAGCTACTTATCCAATATCACATTATAGGAAATGGACTGGGAATTCTGACTTACATTCAGTGGTCTTCACCATATTTTATGCTGTCTCCTATTTAGCCCTTGGAGATGATTTAGTTCTTGGAGATAAATTTCAGAAAAATAAGTAGCCTAGAAAAGTATCCATCTATTAAAAATTATTCCATTGTCCTCTCCTGTTCCTTGTCATGGCTATGATGGAATTGAGCATCAGTTGTTTGAAATATTCAATAACAATTCCTTGGATGGTAGTTCTAATTTTAGCTTTCTGTGGACCTGGTTTCTTCAGGCAATGAATAATTTGCATGGCAAGTTTTCTTCTGTGCAAGACATTAGAGTTGAAACCAAGGACACTTTGAATAGTTTCATAGGAAAAGTTGGTTTCAGAATTGCATTAAAACTTTCTAAAAATTCAACATTGATAGTACTATTGATTATGCACTTCATGTTTTTATACTTTTTAAGTATCTATTAAATTCTACTTCAACACAATGACCATTTATATTTCCATAATGATAGTAGTATGACAGTGAATTTTTATGCTCATTTGAAACTCTATTTTTATTCCTGGCAATAACCTTTGTCACTCTGAGGCCATTCTCTCTCCAGGATTTTTAAAAATATTTAAAAAGAGTGGTGGGGGACGGGTGCAGTGGCTTACACTTGTAATCCCAGCACTTTGGGAGGCCAAGGCAGGCAGATCGCCTGAGGTCAGGAGATGGAGACCATCCTGGCCAGCATGGTGAAACCCTGTCTCTACTAAAAAAAAAAATACAAAAAATTAGCTGGGCATGGTGGTGTGTGCCTATAGTCCCAGTTACTGGGGAGGCTGAGGCAGGGGAATTGTTTGAACCCGGGAGGCAGAGGTTGCAGTGAGCCAAGATCACACCCCTGCACTCCAGCCTTGCAAGAGAGCAAGACTCCGTCTAAAAAAAAAAAAAAAGAGTGATGTGCATCAGCCAGGACCCAGGTTTTAATCTCATGTCATCAGACCATTTCATATACTAACCAACTTAGTAGAATCAATGACTAACCCTTAGTTTACTTTCTGTAATTATTGAAAATTTTTTTTCCTATCTCACTGTCACTCATTTCAATGCTATTTCATCACAATTCTTGGTAAATTCTGTAGATCAGCGTCTGGCCAGGTAATAAATATTCTAGGCTTTGCTGGCACAAAAATAAGGATGTTATGAGAGTTACACAACAGCAGAAAACTGCCGCCCCACCCTACTCATCCCATTTGCCCAGAATGCCACCATTGTCAATTTCATCATCTGCCCCAGGGACCCAGATTCCAGAACACTCTTTCCTCCTAGAGAGCTCAGCCATCTCAGCTTGGGCAGCTGACCAAAGGACGTGAAGTGACTCACTGGATCACTGATTCCAGGGATGAGATTTCATAGCTTCATGCCCAGCAGTTGACAGAAGAGGAAGTTCTGATGGGCAGGTGATGACCAGCATGAGTCTTGGGGAGTGGTGAATTATGGCCACCAGCCAGGAGGCTGGCACTAAGAGTGGAAGTGGGCATGGGATTGGGAGATGCACTGGCTTGTCTCTGCTTCACAATGCTAGGCAGCTTTAGCAGGGCCAGGAGCCATGTAAAACCAGTCAGTGGGCCAGTTTGGGCTGTGGTTTGACATCCCTTGATGTAAATTATCATCTCAGTATCTCCATCTCTTAATCTGTAACCTCTTTTCTTCCAATGATCTTGTGCTCACCCAACCTCAGATACTCATTACCATGATTATGTGTTAGCCCTACCAAAAACTGCAACCGCTCCCCATAAATCCAATTGTAAGTTTCCTCTATCTTACACCATCTCCCATCTTTCCAGAGCATTCCCTTTAGTACTTCAACAATTCTTCAACCCACTGACTCTGACAATCCACTGACTCTACTTTGTTTTCCCTGTTTTCCACCATCTACAGTTTTTCCATATCTGGCTTAAAATTCATAGAAATCACAATCATCACTCCCTTCTATACAACTCTAACTCTCTTGCCATTTTCTGACTTCATTATCCCATCTGGCACAATCCCAGCACTGCCTAAATACAATTCTCTGCCTGCTCCATACTGTACCAACACAGCTGAACAGAACTGAAGAAAAACACAACCATACTGGCTGGCTTCACTTTATTTATTATTGTTGTTATTATTATTATTATTATTATTATTATTTTGAGACAGAGTTTTGCTCTTGTTGCCCAGGCTGGAGTGCAATGGCACAATCTCAGCTCACTGCAAACTCCTTCTGCTGGGTTCAAGTGATTCTCCTGCCTCAGCCTCCCGAGTAGCTGGAATTAGAGGTGCCCGCCACCATGCCTGGCTACGTTTTGTATTTTTAGTAGAGATGAGGTTTCACCATGTTGGCCAGGCTGGTCTCAAACTCCTGACTTCAAGTGATCCGCCTGCCTCAGCCTCCCAAAGTGCTGGGATTACAGGCATGAGCCACAGTGCCCAGCCAGTTTAAATTCATATCCCCTACCCACTAGTGGCCATAGTGCTGCCTGGTCACCCCACATTTGCTCATTCTCCTAGATTAACATTATATGTTGCCTCTTCTCCCCTACAAGATCTAATATCTTCTTGTTCTTAGCTGATGAACATGCTACCTATTTCACTGAATAAAGAAATCAGAAGATATAATTCCCACAAGCTCACACCACTATATCTACCCACCCACTCACATCTGAGCCCAGAGAGTTTCCCTTCACTCCTGGGCATGCTCTGTCCATGTTCCTCCCTAAAGCCAACTTGGGCATTAAATCTCTTCCACACTGCTTATTCAAGAGCATTGTTGCTGAAATTCTTCTCTCTCTCTGCTGCCTCATCAACTTTTTCTCTTTACTGGGTCAAATGTACAAATGTACAAGAATGCTGTAATTTCTGTTAGTTCTAAAATATCTCTTAATACCACATGCACTTAAACTACTTCCTCATTTCTCCATTCCTTATTGATTAATATAGATACTTATGGACACTTACTGGTTCCCATTTTCTCCCTTCCTATTCTGCCTTCTATCTATTTAAATCAGGCTTTGCTCCCTACACTCCACCAATACTGCTTTAGTCAAGGTCACTTGCTTCCAGTTATTGAAGCCAATAAACTACTCATTTTAGTTTCTCATCTTAGTTAAACTTTCAGTAGCATTTGACACTGTTGATCATTTTGTCGTTCTTGAAACTTTCTGCACTTATCTTCCAAGAGGCCACACCCTTATAGTTTCCTCCCACCTCACTGATGTCTCTTTCTTAGACTTCAAAGGTTCCTCATCTCCCCACCCTCTAAACCCTTCAGTGCCCAAGAGTCCTTACACTACTTCTCCATCTATATTCATTCTTTTGGGGACCTCATCCAGGCTTATGACTTTAAACAGTATCTCCACAACAACATTTAATTTCTATCTCTAGTCTAGATTCTTTCTTTGACTGCAGACTCATAGTACCAATTTTCTATTCAGTGTCTATTCTTGGGTTTCTAAAAAGTATTTCAAACTTCACATGTTCAGGAGAATTTTATTTCTGATAATAAGATTACCTGGGTATCTGAAGCAATCTTTTGCTGAAAAATAAAATTCCTGGATTAATTTTTTCTTAAAAATATAAATAATCAGGTAATAAAGTAACTCCTAGGACTTAAAGGAAGCAGGGATTTTGAATGATTAAGAGTATTGAAGCTTACTTTCACACCCAGTTACATTGCCCCATAGAATAACTATGAGGTTCAATTTCTATGGTTCATATGGTACATGGAAAAGTTGGGGAAAAAAACCCAGCCTGCCAAAGATCAGAAATCTAATAGGCAATGCTCTCCTTGTAAAACTGGGACCCCAAAATGGCTACACCATTTATAAGTGACCTAGAAATAAAACCCCTCTCAGCCACTAGACAACTAGTATTGAATGGAGAAGGGAAAATAATCTCCTAAAAATTTATAACAACAAATCAGTTCTTTTGTGATTTTCAGCCTGAATATGTAGTGCCTGTATGGGCTGAGAATTTAATTTAGATGATTGTAGATTTACTGGTAGTACCTTTAGGCATCTAGTAGAGGCAAATGCAAATCTTCTCAGGAGGAACCCGCATTTATCCTAGGTTTTAAAGAATTCCCACAAATAAAACTACAAGGTAAATGAAAATATCACAGAACCAAACAAAAAACAAAACAAAACAACAAAAACCTCTAAATGTGTAAAGAAACAAGTTACCAGGGACAAGAATCAGCAGAAACAACAGTCACTAGAAATTTTATTTCCATTCAGAAAATGGAATTTATTCAACAAACTATAAACTGACTGTGTTAGCTACTTTTAAATAACATTTTTTAAAGATAACCTTGAAAATACATTCCAGGAACAAGAAACTATGAAGAATATAGAAGACGTTTTAAAAAGAGCCAAATAAGACTAGAAATAAAAATATTGAAGTTGAAAATGTAATGGATTTATTTATGAGAAGATTAGACAGAGTGTTTCGAAGAGAATCTAAATAAACTGAAAGATACATTTAAATAAATTATGAAAAATACAACACAAAAGACAAGAAGGAAAATACAACAAGATATTAACATATATGAAGAATTGAGTAAAATGGTGTAACATTTATTCAATCAAAGTAATAAAAGACGAAAAGAAAGAGAATGGAGAAAACATAGGTGATATTTAAAGAATAACAGCTCTCTTCCAGAACTTATGAAGGATTCCAATTCAGAGTCCAATGAATTCCAAGCAGGATAAATGAAAATAATTTCACACTGGATCATATTACATGCAATACACCCAAGACAGATCTTAAAGGCAGAGAGACAAGACAGATTCCCTTAAAAGGGGTGATAGCTGGTTTTATAACTGAGTTCTCAATTACAGCACGAGAAGTGAGAAGACAAAAGAATGATATCCTCAGTATACTGAAATAAACTTACAATGTCTAAAGCTGAACTCCTGATCTTGCCCCTTCCACAAATCTGATGCCAAATCCACATTTACCACCATGCTCTAAGTCAATAGATAGAAGACTATAATCACCATGATCTAACTGGTGTCACTGCTTCGACCCTTGCTTACCCACAGCTATTCTCAACACAGCATTGGAGTGAATCTTTAAAATATGCAAATTATAATATCTTGGCACAAAACGTATCTCTCTCAAAGCAAAGGCTAATGTCCTCCTAATCACCTAAGTGCTATGATCTGTGATTTCCCTGTCAGCATCCGACCTCAAACTCTACTTCTGCCCCACTGGCTTCTTTGCCATTCAGCAAACCATCCAGGCATGCCCCCATTTGATTCTATGCAGCTATGGTGCCTCTCCCTGTAATGCTCTTTCCCCTCCATCTACATGGCTTACTCTCTCACCTCTTTCAAGCTTCAAATCTTTGCTCAAATATTACCTTCTCACTGGAGACTTATTTAACTATTTAAAATTACACTCTCCTCCCTTTTTAGAACATTCTCTATTCTCTTTACATCCTTATTTTGTAAGTAGCAGAATTGCCATCTCATAGACTTTTCATTTTACTTTAAAAAAATTATTTGTCTCCACCATTACCACCACTATCCTGCAACCCAAATAAAACCTCCATAAAGTACAAGAATTTTTATCTGTTTTGTTCACTGCTATATTCTCAACACTGAGAACAGTAACCAGAACATGGTAAGTGCTTAATGAATATTTTATCTGAATAAGTGAATGGATCACTCCATTTGTCTTTTTTCTTATTTTTTATAGAATCTTGTATTTGCAAACAAATCTCAAGTACACAGCTTGATGAGGTTTTAGACAAATATATGTCCATGTAACCACCACCCTGATAAAAATATAGAACATTTTCATTAATACAGCAAATTTCCCTATGCTCTTTTGTAGTCAGTACCTTGCCCAGAGGTATTCTGTCACCACAGATTAGTTTTACTTGTTCTTAAACTTCATATATATGGCATCGTACAACATATACCTCATGTCTTTCATTCAGCATAATGTTTTTCTTTTATTAAATTGACATATAATTCACATACCATAACATTCGCCTTTTTAAAATAGACAGTTCAGTAGGTTTTAGTGTGTTCACCAAGTTGTGCAACCTTTTGTGCCTAATTTCATTTGCTGAGCACAATGTATTCAAGTCTCATACATGTTTTAGCGTGTTTCAGTACTTCATTTCTTTTACTAGCTGAATGAGTACACCGCATTTGTTTATACACTCATCAGTTGGTAGGCATTTGGATTTTTCCACTTCTGACTATTATGAATAATGTTGCTACGTTATGTGTACAAGTTTTTGAGTGACCATATTTTTTTTCTCTCAGGTATAAACCTAAAAGAGAAATTACTGGGGTTTAGAGTAATCCTATCTTTAACATTTTGAGAAATTGCCAAACTGTTTTCCAAAGTGGCTGTATCATTTTACATTCCCACTAGGAATGTCTGAAGATTCCAGTTTCTCCATATGTTTGCCAAAATTTATGTCTGTCTTTTTTATTGTTGTCCTCCTAGTGGGTATGAAGTGGCATCTCATTTGATTTGCATTTCCCTAATGACTAATGATGTTGATTTCATGTGTTTATTGAACATTTTTATATCTTCTCTGGAGAAATGTCTTCTCAAATCCTTCACCTATTTTTAAAATTGGGTCATTTGCTTATTGTTGCTGAGTTATATAAGAGTTATTTATAGATTATGGATAGTAGTTCATTATCAAATATATTATTTGCTAATATTTTCTCCCATTCTGTAGATGTCTTTTCTTGATAGCATCTTTTGAAGCACAAATACTTTTTGTTTTAATGAAGTCACATTTATTTATTTTTCTTTCTTTGCTTGTGCCTTTTTTGTTATATTTTAAAAATGAGCCAGGTGCTGTGACTCATGCCTATAATCCCAATCATTTGGGAGGCTGAGGCAGGAGGATTGCTTGAGGCCAGGAGTTCAAGACCAGCTTGGGCAACATAGCAGGACCCCATCTCTATAAAATATTTTTTAAAAATTAGCTGAGTGTGATACCCCTTGCCTGTCATCCCAACTACTCAGCAGGCTGAGGCAAGAGGATCGCTTGAGCCCAGCAGTTCAAGACTGCAGCGAGCTGCAGTTATGCCACTGCACTCCGCCCTGGGCGAGAGTGAGACTTCATCTCTTTAAAAAGTAAAAAATAAACAGATTAACATTAAAAAATTGAAAACCATTGTCTCATTCATGGCCATGAAGATTTACATCTATGTTTTCTTCTGAGTTTTGTAGTTTTGGCACTTACATTTAAGTACTTGATATGTTTTGAGTTAATTTTTGTATACAGTATAAGGTCAGAGTTCAACTTTATTATTGTGAATAAAGCTGCAACAAAAGTTCTTAAACAGGTCTTTTCTAGATATATGTGCTAATTTCTCTTACTATATATCTAGGAGTGAAATTGCTGGGTTATAAGTAGGTATATGTTTAACCTTAGTAGAAACTGCCAAACAATTTTCCCTAATGATTAATGATGTTGAGTGCATTTTTACATGTTTAAAGGGCATTTTGATAACTTCTTTTATCAAATGATAAAAGTCATTGCCCATTTTTATTCGATCTTTTGATTTTTGATTTGTAGGAGTTCTTTATTCTGAATACCAGATCTTTGTCAGATAAATGCATTGTGAACATTTTATCTCAGTCTGTGGCAGGCCTTTTTATGTTTTTAATGGTATGTTTTTTGAGCTGAAGTTTTTTTTTAATTTGATAAAGTCCATTTTTTCTTTATTGTTAATGCTGTTTGTGTCCTGTTTAAGAAATATTTTCCTACATTCAGGTCATGAAAATATTCTTTTCCATGTCATTCTAAATGCTTTATGCACTTTGCTTTCATATTTAGATTCATGATCCATTTCTAATTAATTTTTGTATGTGGTACTTCATAAGATTTACTTTTTCCATTGAAATATTCAGTAATCTCAACACCATTTATTGAAATGGTTCTATTTTCCTATTGAAATGCATTACAGTTTTTGTCAAAAAAATTTATTGGTTGTCAAGAGTTTCTATTTCTAGACTTTCTTCAGTTCTGTTGCCCTCTTTGTCTAGCTTTACACCAATACCACACTGCCTTAATTACTGTAACTTTATTATAAGTCTTGATTCTGTAGTATAAGCAGTCTAACTTTGTTCTTGGCTATCTTAGGTTCTTTGCATTTCCATATAAATTTTAGGATCAGCTTGTCAATTTCCACACACACAAAAAAAAACCTGCTGAGTTTTAATTGAGAATCAATGGAATCTAAAGATTGATTTTAGGATAGCTGATATTTTAACAATATTATCCATAATGATCTATTTATTTAACACAGCTTTCATTTCTGTCAGCTATGTGGTAGTTTTCAAGTTTCTATTGCAGAAGTTTTGCACTTTTCTTGGTAAAAGTATTCTTATGTATTTGATGCTTTCAAAAACTAATGTAAATGATCACGTTTAGGCTTATTTTTAATGCGTTTATTGCCCTAAGATAAAAATGTAATGGATTTTTTTATGTTAATCTTTTATCTAGTAACTTTGCTAAATTGAGTAGTTTTAGTAATTTGTTTGAACATCACTTTGGGTTCTCGGATTACATTTTCTTTTAACTTTACCAGTAGTAGTCCTACTGATTTGACATTATGTCTATAAGTCAATCTCTACCTCTTACTTTTAATTTGCTGGGAGGAATCGGAATAAGGTGAGAAAGTAATCTAAATGAAGACGCACAGGACCCAAAGATAAAAATAGACAAAAGATTATTCTTGTTGAGCTTTCTTTTTCTCACCTTATCTTTCTTTTTTTTTTTTTGAGACGGAGTCTCGCTCTGTCGCCCAGGCTGGAGTGCAGTGGCGGGATCTCGGCTCACTGCAAGCTCCGCCTCCCGGGTTCACGCCATTCTCCTGCCTCAGCCTCCCAAGTAGCTGGGACTACAGGCGCCCGCCACTACGCCCGGCTAATTTTTTGTATTTTTAGTAGAGACGGGGTTTCACCGTTTTAGCCGGGATGGTCTCGATCTCCTGACCTCGTGATCCGCCCGCCTCGGCCTCCCAAAGTGCTGGGATTACAGGCGTGAGCCACCGCGCTCGGCCTATCTTTCTTATTTTTCATTATGAATATACTTCCAGGCTGGAAAATCTCTGGCATTTTCTAGAGGAAAGCAAGAATTTCCCAGTGGCATCTCTGGAAATTATTCCAAAATTCTCTTTTACCTATCTGTTCCCTTGATTGTCTATTATGCTTGACTTCTGAGGACTAGCAGATTATACCATGTTTTCAAACTTTTCTATCACTTCCAAAATTGGGAATTTCCTTGATGGCAACAGGGATACAATAAAAGGCTAAATCTATAAAATGATTTGAAGGTCTTATTGAAAGATAACATAAAGAAGTTAAAATAGCCCAGGTTTGGCAAGAACTTAGATTCAAATCTCCCCTCTTCCACTTGCTACATGAATAACTTTGAATACATTACTTTTGTAAATTTTATTTTCTGCAACTCAACAATGGAGATATTAGTTGTCTTCACTCAGGGATACTGTGAGGGCTCAATAAGATGACACCCCAAAAGCACCTGGCCCTGATTCAGGTGTGCCATAGAGAATCACTACTAGTTCCTCCAGCCCTGTTTGGAGACATACCACACAAACATTTCCTATGAAAACTTGGAATGTGAGTCACTGGAAATTAATCTGGTATTTTATTTTATTTCTATTTTTAAACTGCAACCACATCGCAAAATATTATTTTATTTCAGAAGAATTTAAAATGTGAAGAATTTGCTATCATCTCATATAATAGTGGTGATGAGGGGGCCACTACAGGTTCACATCATTCCAGTTCTGTCAGACCCTGATGCTTCGTTCCTTTCCTAAATATCCCTTTCCCATTCCTTTTAGCAGCTTTCAAATCTTCTCCATTCTTTTCAAGGCCTCAAGGATTTCTCTGTTCCATAACTATCAACCAAAGATTTTTTAAAAATAAAAACTATCAGCCATAAAACTACCTAGACCCCTCCCCACCTCTTTATCTCTCTGGCTCTTCACTTCTTATTTATTTGCCTTTTCATTTCAAAGGTATTTTCCCCATTCTTTCTACAGAAAATCCCTTTAGTTACCTGCTTTACCTCATACTCTTCAATCTCCCCACAACCTCACTCAATTATGCCTTCCCTCTGTATTTCTTTACACCCTTGATTCCTCAATCTAAACAACCTCCTCCCCCTGGTTGTCAAATAGGCTGAGAGTTTGGGTCTAGCCTCTCTTCTCATCCTGTGCTAGGTCTCTGAAATTCTCTTGTACTCTAACCACTCTTGTTTGCTAGTGACTCAAATTCTCAGCTCTGGCTCTGACTTCATGCATGACTCAAGACCAGTGTCTCCTACTGCTGCCTGGTTGATGTTCTCACTGGGATATTCTCATAATTCAAATTTAGTGAGGTCAGAATGGAAATGTTATAATGTTATAAACTCTTCTATGTACCCACCCTCCTTTGCACTTCACCCTGAGGAATGCCAGGCCCTCTGTGTTAGGCTAGCAGGGAAAGGGAGGAATTGGAACCAGCAGTCCAGAGCTACAGAAAAAAAAAAAAAAAAAAAACCTCAATGATCAAGCCTATTCAAATTAATAAGGCAAATTGCCACAGGAATGACATATACAAGAGAAACTAACATAGTGGAAGCAGAGGTCAGGAGGCTAGAACAATGTGGAAGTTAGGCAGATGGGAGTGCATGAGTCACCCCCTGGTTAGGAATATGGTTCCATTTAATGGTTGAGGTTGCAAAAGGAGAGCTTCCAGGAATACAGAGCTGACAAATGCTTGTCACAGTTTCCAGGCCCAGCTCAATGAAAGGGGTGGAAAAAAACGTAGTTTTCCTTGCCTCAATGATGGAATTTAGTACATGTTGATAGAATTTAGTGCAAGGCTAGGGTTAAGTAACAATAGGACAAATACAGAAGGTATGAGGTGAAGCTTCCTTAGATGCCAGCTTTATGAAGATCAGATTAATTGGGCCAAATGTAATCTCTCAACAGATCTTTACTGGGCACTAACTGTGTACAGAATGATACTAAGCTGGGAACTGGGAATACAATTGGGAATTTAAAAAAATTCAGCCAGACGTGGTGGCTCATGCCTGTAATCCCAGCACTTTGGGAGGCCGAGGCAGGCGGATCACCTGAAGTCAGGAGTTCGAGACCAGCCTGACCAACATGGTGAAACCCCATTTCTACCAAAAATACAGAATTAGCTAGGTGTGGTGGCACAGGCCTGTAATCCCAGCTACTCAGGAGGCTGAGGCAGGAGAATTGCTTGAACCCAGGAGGTGGAGGTTGTAGTGAGCCGAGATTGCACCACTGTACTCCAGCCTGAACAGCAAGAGTGAAACTCCATCTTAAAAAAAAAAAAAATCATACTACACAGTCATTTTTCTTATAAGCAGTATGGGGAGAACTATAAAACAGTTAACAGACAATTACAATATGGGGAGTGGGGTATGACACCCAGATGGGGAAGCACAGTGGGTCGAGGGGACAGTTAACCCAAAGTTACAATAAAATATTTTATATAGGAAAAGCTTTTAGGAATCTAGGAGAAGTTGGTGAGCATTTGTCATGCTATCTGGTGGTCCAGCATGTTTGAGCCCTGTTTGAATCCAGGGGAAATGTCAAGACTTATACATTCTACCTCCCCAGTTTAGAGCCCAGAAAACTTGCCACCCCAGCCTCCTTTACAACTGAGGCACAGGTGCATTCCCTAAATTACACCATTCAGACTCAACTATGAGAGACTTTGATTTAGAATTAAGAGAGTCAAATACAAAGGCCCCACATGGAAGTTTGGCCTTCAAGGCACCCAGCTTCTATGTCTATGTCTACACTAGTGGGAAAGCCAGGTTCTTGGCTAAGGCTTCCCATTGATGCTGATGGCAGTGGAAATTCCAGTCAAGTCAGGTTCCTGGCTGTGGTTCACATCTAGCACCCAAGGCTAGGTGACATTAGTGGTGACAGTTTCCTCATTAGGTGAGTCCTGCGGTATGGCTTGGGGGGCTGTCCATGTAAGTGAGGCTTGAGCTTAATTAGCCAGCATGCTCCGAAATTTGATGAGCCATGTAAGATCCTTTTCTGCTTACTAAGCCAGGTTTAGTTTCTAACAGCTGAAACTAAAAAAATCTCAACAGACACAAAAGGCTTTCTGTAGGAAGTGATGTCTAAACTGAGATGTAAAAGAGAAATAGAGTTTAGCTAGGGAAAGGGCAAAGGGAAAGTGTTTGGAGCAGAAGAAATAATAGGAGCCAGTGGGATGGTAAGGAGAACATCATGTATTTCAGGGACCGAATCTGACAGATCGCTTTAAGAAGCCCTTCAGCAAAACTGAATCAGCAAATGAGCAGGATTGAGATTGTGGTTGGAGATCTCAGTGCCAAAACTAAGAGACTGGGACAGGCTTATGCCAACTTCATTATTCTCCTAGTCCTCTTTGCTGCCTCCAGGAATGATGTTTTCCCAAAACCCTTTAGACGAGGTTGAGTCTTATCACCTTCATCTCCGAATGAGTCACTGGCAAAGAGAACATGGAGAACGAGTTGTCAATCAGGAAATACTTTCCATCAGGGACCAGAAAATGACCTGTGGGAGGTTCATGCAACAGAGGTGTCCAGTGGATAGACCTTCAACACAGCATGAAAGTGTAAGAAAAACCTTTAATCATGTCATTAGCTCAATTTCTCTGTCTCCATGCTTTTACCCGGCTATCCTAGGTCATATTCCATCCACCCCATCCACCACACCTAAAGACCCACCATTCATTCCGGAAATAGTGAGCACCAGCCACCCAAGTGTCAACTTGTGAGACAGATATAAAAGATTGTATTATAAATTCATCAACACTGGCCTCAATGGACCGATGACTATTTGGTACTTGAAGACCTTAGAGCAGCATGCTCCCAGGATATTAATATATATTGTTATAAAAGTGGTTCTAAAATCAAATAAAATTGAGAAACGCTTATTAAAGCATAGCTTATGTGTTGAGGGACTTCTCTGAATTTTTAGTGTTCACTGAAACCTCCAAGATGAGGAGAAAGTGTGCAGCGTGTTCCAAATGTATTTAACGACTAGCGTGCAGGGTTAGTGTTGAGGCAGGTGACTCCCAAAACCCATCTCAGGTCATTCTTTCTCCTTGACATGACCCTGAGTCATGTTAAACTGAGTCTCAGGTCAGTACGTACCAGACAAAGAAAGAAACTAATGACAGAAACATAACTCAGGACATGTCACTAGTCCAATGACTTCCGATTTCACTGAGATGTTGTTTTCTGTTTTATGAGAAAGACCTAGCTCCACATATCTAATATTTTCCTTTTTCGCCAGGGCCTTTTACTTCCTTTGTTTTTATTACTAACTTCTTCCCTGTGGTGTTGGTCTTCATCTGTCTTGTGGAGAAAGCTTCTTCATTAAATTCACCAGGGAAGTCTATATTTCCCCGGATCCCATCAGATTTTCACATTCTAACTCTAGGTCTGACACATTTCTCAGTAAAGATACATACATCTAATATAAACAAAACCAATACTTTGAGGGGCGTAGGGAAAGTTTCTTAATGAGATAATCTGTTCTTAAAAAGGCAGAGGATACACATCAAAAATAAAAGCTCAGGAACCAAAGATCAGTTATAAATCAGCATGGAGTAAGCAGCAGAGAGAGAAATCCCAGCCCCTCAAAATGCTATGACTCTGCAGCGTGGTTGGAGAATCTACTTCCTGATTTGTTGTCTCAACATAGGGAAATGAATTAGATTTACCTTGTCATCTGAGACTAGCACACACCAAACAAACAGAGCCTTCCATATTTGCCTGTAACAGCTGTTCTCAAACTTTTACCAGCATCGTAACCACCCCAAAAGCTTGGTAAAACTGATTACTGGGTCCCACCTCAAGAGTTTCAGATTCTGTAATGCAGGCATTTCTATCAAGAGCCCAGGTGATGCTAACAGTGTTGTTCTGGGAACCACACTTGGAGAATCAGGCCTAGACAATAGCAAACTAGACCCTGGGGGCAATCTCATAGTGGCAGGCACTTTTTCTTTTTCTTCTTCTTTTTAAGAACATGTGAAAGGCCTTATAGCAAAATGCTAGACAGCAGACATTTATATGTTCAGAGAGATATGACTGGGCTCAATAAGAAATACTCCACTGTCTGAGGTCCTGAAACAATTTACTTACCCTATCTAAACTTCAAGCACCCTATCTACAAAATTAGATCAGAACATAACCTGTTGTGAGGATTAAGTAGGGCAACACCTATGAAGCTCTCAACAGAGATCTTGGCATTCAATAAAGGGTGATCACAGTGAGTGTTGTTTTGTCAGTTTTCAAAAAAATCCTGGTGATATCCTAAACTTCAAGTTCTGCACAAAGAGAGCCTGGGTGTTTTGAATAGCATTTATCAAAAATCCAATGGGCAAAATGTATTAAATCTCCAGCCTTCCAGGACACGAACCAAGAATTATTATAGAATTTATCTCAAAATCACTGAAATTTTTTGTTGTTGTTGTTTTGTTTTGTTTTTTTAAACAAGGCTCCTTTTTGATAGTGGAATGTTTTCTCCAATAGCTTTTGCCTTTAGATGGTTCCCATCAGCAGCAGCAGGAGTTAGAATTTGGAGCCTGCAGGCAAAAAAAAAAAAAAAAAAAAAAAAAAAAAAAAAAAAAAAAAAGCAGAAATGCAGAAGTGTTTCTTTACTCATTACTAATTGAGCTTCCTTAATCTGAAAATTCGAAATCTGAAATGCACCAATGAGCATTTTCTTTGAGTCTTGGGTCAGTGCTCTAAAAGCTTCAGATTTTCAAGCATTTCAGATTTTTGGTTTTTAGATTTGGGATACTTGAACTATACTAATGTTAAAATACTTGCCAAATAAGTAGGTCTCTGACCGAGAACAGTCCTGTATTTCTTGGGCATCCTTGGGTCTCAGTGTAAATAAAATTCTTCAGGGTCTTTTCCCTGATCTGGCCCTCTCTCTCTCATTAGGCTACATGCATGCATGGTACTTCTTAACATTTTGCACAACTGTAATCATTTCACGAATTATTTGTAAAAATTTGTTTAATGTCTGTTTTCTCTCATCTAACCTTCTTTACCTGAGAGGACCATGTTTACTAAGTTTTCCACTGTACCTGCTAGAATAAAACCCGGAACGTAGATAGCACATAGTAAATATTTGATGAATGTCAGACCAAATGCCCAAATTCCCATTTTGAATAGCAGAATGAGAAAAGCAATATATTTTTCTTTTACATGTTTCAAGAATATATGTATTTGACAAGAAAAAAATAAGACATAACTCCTCCAACATGTTTTTGATGATTGGACTTTGGAATTTCCCACCAAATTCAGGACTTTATTAATCCAATTTAAGAGCCAAAAACAAGAGCTCCTAATACAGGAATTTTTACTTAATAAGAAGGAATGAGCCATTTGGAAATGTTTTATACACATTGGAAAGTCAAATAGTGGTAAAACATCCACAAAGTATTTGGCAAAATTCATTCAAGCCAGTTGTATTATTTTCTCTTGAAAACACTGACCTTTTTCCTTATTACTTTTTTTATGCCCTCCAATATGGATATAAATGTAAATGTATTTCTGGGCCTTTGCTTTTCTTTTCTAATTTTAAATTACCTCTCCCCTTCACCACAAATTGTATACTTGGAGCTCCATTTGTGGCCAAAATGCAATTGTTTAATTGTGCAATATGCAATTTGTAATATAATTATGCTGGTCAAATTATTTCCTGGGCTTCTCAATTACTGTGATTACATTTGTTAAGTTTACAAGCCACATGCTATTATTCTTCCTTCCCTCTGGCTGGTAAATAGTTTTATTTTGCTTTTAGTTCTAGGGTTCAGGGCTTTGAGTGGGTGTCTTGAGGGGGAGTAAAATTTGATATCTTGTTTCTACCATTACAGCCCCACTTGTGTTAATGAAGATGGGAGCTGAAGCTGAAAAACCACAAATGAATTTTACTGTTATGCATCCACTCAACACTTAGGAAGAGAGATTGATGATAGCACATTTCAAATTCATCTTCCAGAACATTCCATCTCAGATAGAAAAAATGGCCAACGTTTATTGGATGCTTTCTATGTGTCAGGCACTAGACTAAGCAAGCACTTTACACACATTTAAATATTTATCTTCAGAACAAACCTGTGAGGTTAATACCATATTTGTCATGGTGTCTCGGTCTAAGTTCCCCAAAAAGCAGACAAAGCGCTTGCATGCAGGTCGTTTATTTTATGGAACAATCACAAGGGAAAAAGAGTGGGGACTGGGAAGAGTGAAACAGGGAAGAATGGAAAGCCAGCCCAAGGGTGTGCTGTCTGGCTGATTTACTGTGCGGGCAACTGGAGTTCTAACTGGTGAGGACAGCTCTGAGGAATGTTGCGGAAAGTGCTCCAGAATTATGTGTCTGAGGCTCTGAGGAGGAGAGTATTTTTCCCTTGTATCCCGCCATTCTTGGTCAAGAGTTTTCCCATAGACTATTAAGGCAGTAACATTTACAGGGTTGCAATGAGTGAGAGGAAGGAGTCCTGCAGGTAACCTATGTGGCTGCATCAGAGAAGCCATGGGAAAGAAAGTCAGGTGTGCGAAGGGCAGCTGAGGGGAACTGCCATCAACTATACCTAGAGTAATAAAATGGTGGGCCAAGATGACATGAAGTGAGGCACAACAGATGTCCTGTAAGTACTGTTTTTCTTTTTCTGACATTAGTATTTCTTTTATTCATCAACATTTTTACAGCCTTATTGATGTATAATTGATAAACAAAAATGCACATATTTAATATATACAATTTGATGAGTTTGGACATATGCACACACCCAGGACACCATCACCACAATCAAGGTAATAAACATATCCATCACCTCCAAAAGTTTCCTTATGTTCCTCAACTTTGTGTGTGTGGAGCAGGGGGCATGGTAGGAACACTTAACAAAATTTTTAATGCATAATGACATCTTATTGTTAACTACAGGCACTATGTTGCACAGCAGATCTCCAGAACTTATTCATCTTGTATAACTATATCTTTACACCCGTTGAAAAACTCCTCACTTCCCCTTGTCCCCTTCCCCTGGCAACCACCATTCTATTTTTTGCATCTGTAAGTTTGATTTTCTTAGATACTTCATATAAGTGGAATCATGCAGTTATTTGTCTTTCTGTGACTGACTTACTTCACTTAGCAGAATATCCTCAAGGATTATTCATGTTGTCACAAATGATAGGATTTCCTCATTTTTTAAGGTTAAGTCATATTCCAGTGTAGCATATACCACATTTTCTTTATCCATTTGTCTGTATTTAGACATCTAGGTGGTTTTCATACCTTGGCTATCGTGAATAATGCTGTAATGAACATGGAAGTATAGATATCTCTTTGAAATCTTGATTTCAATTATTGTGGATCTATACCCAGCATGGAATTGCTGGATCTTATGACAGTTCTATTTTGACTTTTGAAGAGCCTCCATACTGTTTTCTATAGTGGCCGCACAATTTTACATTCCAACCAACAATGTACAAGAATTTCAGTTTCTCCACATTCTTGCCAATACTTACTACCTTTTTTTTCTTTTTGATAATAGGCATTCTCACAGGTGTGAGGTAATATCTCATTGTGGTTTTGATTTGCATTTCCCTGATGTACATTTTCATATTTGTGAAGCACTTTTTCATGTACTTGTTGGCCATTTGTATGTCTTCTTTGTATACAAATGTCTGTTCAGGTTCTTTGTCCATTTTTTAATTGGGATATTTGTTTTCTTGTTACTATGTTGTTTGAGTTCCTTATATATTTAGATATTAATTCCTTAAGAGGTATATGGCTTTCAAATATTTTCTCCCATTCCTTGGGTTATCTTTTCCCTCTGTCGATTGTTTCCTTTGCCGTGCAGAAGCCTTTTGGTTTGATGTGGTCCCACTTGTCCATTTTTTTGCTTTTGTCACTAGTGCTTTTGGTGTCATATCTATGAAATCATTGCACAAGAACAATGTCATGAAACTTTTCCCTGAAGTTTTCTTATAGGAGTTTTATATTTTCAGGTCTTACATTTAAGTATTTAACCCATTTTGAGTTGATTTTTGATATGGTTTAAGGTAAGGGTCCAACTTTATCCTGCATGTGGATATCCCGTTTCCTCAACACCCTCTGTTTAAGGAGGTATTCTTTCCCCATTGTGTATTCTTTGCACCCTTGTCAAATGTCAGTTGGCCAGCTATGCATGGGTTTATTTCTGGGCTGTCTATTTTTTTCACTGGTCTCTATGTTGTCTTTATGCCAGTACCATATGTTTTAATTACTGTAGCTTTTTGATGTATTTTGAAATCAGGTAGTGTAATCCCTACAGCTTTTTTCTTCTTTCTCAAGATTGCTATGGCCATTAAGGGCCTTTTGTTGTTTCATGTGACTTTTAGGATTTTTTTCCTATTTTTATACGTAATACTTTTTGGGATTCTGATGGAAATAGCATTGAATCTGTAGATCACTTTGTGGAAAATGGACATTTTAACAATATTAAGTCTTCCAATTCATAAACCTAGGATGTCTTTACATTTATTTGTGTCTTCTTTAATTTCTTTCATCAGTGTTTTGCAGTTTTTAGTGTACAAGTCTTTTACCTCCTTGGCTAAGTTTATTTCTATTTTGTTATTTTTAATGCTATTCTAAGTAGAATTATTTTCTGAATTTCCTTTTCAGATACTTCATTGTTAAAATATAGAAACATGTATGTATATTTCTAACTATGAAATCATGCCATTTGTGAACACAGATAATTTTTTTTCTTCCTTTCCAATTTGGATGCCTTTTATTTATTTTGCTTCCCTAGTAGTTCTGACCAGGACTTTCAGTCTTATGTTCATAGAAGAGACAAGAGTAGGCATTATTTACTTGTTCCTGATCTTAGAGGAAAAGCTTTTAGTTTTTCATTGTTGAATTTGATGTTAGCTTCAGGTTTGTCATATATGGCCTTTTTTATGTTGAGATATATTCTTTCCATACTTTGTTGAGTGTTTTTAACAAGAAAGGGTGTTAAACTTTGTTAAAGACTTTATCTATTGAGATGCTCATGTGATTTTTACCCTGCATTCTATTAATGTGGTATATCACATTCATTGATTTGCTTATGTTGATCCAACCTTGCATCTCTGGGATAAATCCCACATGATCATGGTATATGATCCCTTTAATGTGCTTTGAATTCAGTTTGCTAGTACTTTTTTGAAGACTTTTACATCTATATTTAGCAGGGAAATTGGTCTGTCATTTTTTTCTTGTATTTTCCTTATCTGGCTTTGATATCAAACTTTTTAAATTAGAAAATTGAGGCTTGGAGAGCTTGTTCAAAGATACAGAATTAGTGTCCAGCAGAGTTCATTGTCTTACACTGAGATTTCAGCCTGTATTAGTGTACTAGGGCTGCTGTAACAAATCGCCTCAAACAAGATAACTTATGACAGAAATGTCATTCCTCTCACAGTTCCTTTTTGTAATTATTTTCAAAAGTTTTTGGGGTACAGGTTTTTTGGTTACATGGATAAGTTCTTTAGTGGCAATTGCCGAGATTTTGGTTTACCTGTCACCCAAGCAGTGTACACTGTACCCAATATGCAGTCTTTTATCCCTCACCACCCTTCCACCCTTCCCCCCAAGTCCCTAAAGTCCATTATGTCTATTATATAATTCTTATGCCTTTGCATCTTCATAGCTTAGCTACCACTTATAAGTGAGAATATATGATGTTTGGTTTTCCATTCCTGAGTTACCTCACTTAGGATAATGACCACCAGCTCCATCCAAGTTGCTGAAAAGGCCATTATTTCATTCTGTTTTATGGCTAAGTTGTATTCCATGGTGTATATATACCACATTTTCTTTATCCACTCATTGGTTGATGGACATTTAGATTGGTTCCATATGTTTGCAATTGTGAATTATGCTGCTACAAACATGCATGTGTGTGTGTCTTTTTCACATAATGGTTTCTTTTTGGGTAGTTACCCAGTAGTGGGATTGCTGGATTGAATGGTAGTTCTACTTTTAGTTCTTTAAGGAATCTTCATACTGTTTTTCATAGTGGTTATGCTAGTTTACATTCCCACCAGAAAAGTAAAAGTGTTTCCTTTTTACCACATCCACACCAACATCTATTATTTTTTAACTTTTTAATTATGGTCATTCTTGCAGGAGTAAGGTGGTATCTCATTATCTCTCACAGTTCTTGAGGACAGACATCTGTAACCAAAGGGCCAACAGGGCCATGCTCCCACTGAAGGCTCTAGGGAAGAATCCTCTTCTAGCTTCTGGTGGGTGCTGGCAATGCTTTGCATTCCTTGTCTTGTGGCAACACCACTCTGATCTCTGCCTTCATCTTCACATGACCATATTCCTATTATGTCTGTGTGCCTGTTTTCAAATTTCTCTTTTCTTATAAAGAACCAGTCATATTGGACTTAGGAAGTACCTTCATCCAGTATGATCTGATCATAACTTGATTATGTCTGCAAAGACTAGGGTCCAAATAAGATTCTAAATAAGGTTTCAAATAAAATTATATTCACAGGTTTTGGGTAGATATGACTTATGGGGGAACACTGTTCAAGCCAGTCAAAGTTCTTCTTAGGAAATATGTGAAAACTGTGTTTTAATATTTTTATGCATATGTTAATTTCCTTAATTCAATACTAGGAATGTTTGAATACCATTCCCTAGAAGAGTAGGTTTTTATTGTTCTCATTTAAAGAAAGCTTTGTGTTCTATATGCCTTCAGCCTTCTCAGATGTCTCTCCAAGAAGATAATTCGACCAGCTGATTAGGAACCATTGCAGCACCCCATTTTAGGGCTAATTCAGTCCCAGCCAGAGTTCACCTTGAACCCACAGTTATTGCAAGGGTGACTGAGGTGACTACCTAGAACAGATGGGCAGACATTGGAGAAGTGCCCAGACCTTTACACTGGATTCATCAATTTGAGAAAATTCTTTATTGTCAGGTTTTGGTAAAATTGGCTGCTTTAAGAAATTGACAGGAGTTCTACTAGCATCATTAGGCATGTCAGATTTGATCATGTTTATTTTGCCTAGGTTTCTGTTGTGGTTGAGTGAAATAGATCAAGTGTTAAAGTTATTTTATGCAGCTATGATTAGACATTTTTCCCTAACCTTTATATATGTTATATTTAATCTTCACAACACCCTGTTAAGATAGTTAGCATCACTCCTATTATTTAAGAAAGCTAAACTTCCAAAAGATAATAAATTTACACAGGTCATAGCCAATTAATAGTAAAGCTAGGGATTGATACAAGATTTTTATGACTCTAGAACCTGGGATACTCTTTAATATCAAGCTGCTTTTCACCTGATCCACAGATATGAAATGCCTTCAGTAATGCTATTTAATGCTCAATGCTCACTTTCCTTGCTTTCAAAATGTTTACATAAAGATACATGAAAATTATGAACCAATGTAATAGCAGCTATCAACCATCAATAAGTCTCCTTCCATGTATAAGCACCTTATACAAATAAAGTTGAAAATATTTTTCCTGGTATAACAGAATCAAAACTCAGAGAGTTTAAGTTACTTGCTCAAGTAGATCATAAAGGTGACAAATGCTAGACAAAGACTCAACCCAAGTTTTGCTTACCCTTAAGCCTGCCCTCTCAACTACTTCATATATTGCTTCTCAGCATCAAAGCTTTAAACAAACAACATGGGAGCTCAAAGTAAACCTTCATTTTGAATAGGGGAATTGGAGCCTTTATGCAGAGGTGACATTTGAGGAAAGTGTTAAAGCATGAGAAAGATTATGATTGCTAACGAATGGTAAGAAGAGTCCAAATATTCACTCATTCATCCACTCATTCAATACATATTTTATAGAGCACATGCTTTGTACCAGGCACTGTGCTAGTGACTGAATGCACATGATAGCCGTGATCTCTGTCCTTGTGGAGCTGAGGACCCACTTGGAGAGTAGACAATAGCCAAACTTAATAATATCTGAACTCATGACAAATGCTGTCAGCACTGTGTAGGAAACAAAATAAGTTGTGAAAAGGGAACCTTCCTTAGTGAAGGTCAGGTAAGGCCTCTCTGAAAAAGTTACATAGAAACTGATCCCTACCTACATGTGAGAAGTAACTAATCCTTCAAGAGCTGAGGGAAGACTGCTCCAATCAAAGGAATCTGTGCAAAGCTTGGAGTGAAGAAAGAAACTTGATTCTGAGGAGCCTGGTGAATGAGGGAGAGAGAAGAGCAACAGGATGAGCTGGGAAGCAGTCAGGCTAGCACAGGGTCTCCGAGGCATGATCAGGCATTTCAATTTTGTTCAAAGGATGGTGGGAAGCTGTTAAAATGTTTCACCAGAGAAGAGAAATCTTCCAAAGATGTTTCTATTATTATTATTATTATTTGAGACAGAGACTCCCTCTATCACCCAGGCTGGAGTGCAGTGGCATGATCTCCGCTCACTGCAACCTTCACATCCCGGGTTCAAGTAATTCTTCTGCCTCAGCCTCCTGAGTAGATGGGACTACAAGCATGTGCCACCATGTCCAGGTAATCTTTGTATTTTTAGTAGAGACAGGGTTTCACCATATTGGTCAGGCTGGTCTTGAACTTCTGACCTCGTGATCTGCTCACCTCAGCCTCCCAAAGTTCTGGGATTACAGGCATGAGCCACCCCACCAGGCCATATCATTCTTATTCTTATATTTTGGAGACAGGGTCTTGCTCTGTTGTCCAGGCTGGAATATGGTAGCACAATCATAGCTCCCTGTTACCTCAAAATCCTGACTCAAGCGATCCTCCCACCTCAGCCTCCTGAGTAGCTAGGACTACAGGCATATACCACCATGCCTGGCTAATTTTTAAGTTTTTTGTAGAGCTGTATTTTCCAGACTGGTCTCAAACTCCTGGCCTCAAGCAATCCTCCTGCCTCAGCTTCCCAAAGTGCTGAGATTACAGGTGTGAGCCACCATGCCCAGTCCCAACTATGTTTCTAAACTATCAGTCTGGTCATCCAGTCAAGAGCAGTCATGCAAGGCCAGTTAAGAGGTGATAGCTGTAACTCATGCAAAAGATACTGGTGGGGGCCAAGGTACGGTTGTGGAGAGGGTGAGAACGAGAGATTATTTGAGGATAGTGTTGATTATTTATGCTGATGGACTGGATATGAGAAGAGGAAACATAAAGAGAGAGGAGCAAAATTAAGGATCATACCCAGATTTCTGGCTTGAAATTAGGCAGAGTGGGGTTCCATTGACTAAGACTGCAATAGAGATGGGCAGATGAAATAACTGAGGCAATGCATGTGGAGGGGTGAGGGGAATGAAGGGATCTCTTACTTATGATAAGTAATTTATTTGGATATACAATGACATGCCACCTCTAAGTCATAAACCAATTAAGACAAAGGCTGAAGGTGGGTACCAACTTCCCATTCGTCTTCCAAGTCAACCTAGCCCAACTGACATCTCCCTTCAGCCTCCTTTCTTTGAGTGTCCACTGAGGACAGTGCAGGAATAAATTCTGCAGATGAAAAATAAAGAAAATAATAACAAGTCAACTGGCTCAGATTCTGCATGTAAATGAGAATAATTGACAGTAGTGAGGGAAAACCAGAAGAGGCAATAATATCTTCTGAAAGGAGAGGAGGACGATGGAAGAAAGCTTTCTACAGGTGGTGAACTATGTGCTGGCTTTGTAAATGTTGAATTGACATGGGGAGAAGACAAGACATAGCATCCTAAGCAGAGTAAAGAGTATGGACAAAAGATGAAGGCACAGTTGTACATGACATTCTTAGGGGGAAAGCTAGCTGTTCTAAGGGAAGGATTTAGGATTAAAGGGATGATATATTTGGGGTCTATTCATAATATCTGTAACCAACCAAATGCTCTACCACACTTACATATATCCCATTGTTCTCTCTCTCTGTCTCTCATACACACACACACTCTCTCTCACACACATACAAACACACTCTCACACACACACACACACTCCCTCTCTCACACACACACACTCTCTCCCTCTCTCTCTCTCTCTCACACACACACACACACACAATCCTGTAATGCTGTTTCTCATCTTAATGCTGCAAATTCCTCCTCATCTGTGCCTGGAGGGAAGAGAAGTAAGGGAGAAAAAGGTTATGTAGATAAATTGTTCCCAAATGCAGCTAAAGATAGCTCTGAACAGGTGGATCTTAGTGAAGACAGCTTTCGCAATTCAGAGCATAATTTCTTTCCCGTTTCCATCAAGACCACCCAGCCGCCGGTCTTTACCCCTTCAAATCATCATAACGTCAAGCCAGATTCACCTTCTGGGAAAAATATATCACATCTGGGTATATCACGTCACTCCCCTGTTAAAAATCTTCCCTTAGTTTTCCAATCGAGGAGCTCCCGCTGTTCTCAATAACCATGAAGCCCAGCTGAGGGTATATTGCATCAGGCGGGGGTGGTAATCCCTCTAAAAATTTTTAAAGGAAATAGAATTATACAAGGAAGGACATTGAGTAAATATATTCACCTGAGTATGACTCACCTAGCATTCATAGATAACAGCAACATTCATAGATAACAGCAACATATTTGATAGTTTCTATCCTAATGATTTGGGATGTTGGCATGGGAGAGAATTGTCTATCAATACCACCATTTAATATGTTTGTTGTTTTGGAAGACGGTATGTGGGAGGAAACCTGAGACAGGTGGTTGCACTATATTTACATCTAGCTGCTGTTGTTCCTTCATAATCAAAAGTGACTACCAGCGATAACTGCTATCTTCTGGTGCAGGTGTGAGTGAAAAGACAGATTTGAGCCAATGGTCCCCATGCATGCTGCTTGCCCATAAAGATGGAACCTTGATTTGTGGGTTTTACAGCAATTACTGTCTAGAGCAGCACAATCCAGGAGAACTTTCTGCAGTGACAAGAATGTTCTCTATCTGCGCTGTCCCATGTGGTAACTGTGACCCACATGTGGCTGTCAGCACTGTTATTGTGGCTAGCGCAACTGAGGAATTGAACTTTTTATTTTATTTAACCATAACTAGTTTAAATTAGTATAGCCATATGTGGTGGCTAATGCAACCATATTCTAGACCTACCAAGATTCCCTCTCCTAGTCCTGGGTCTCGTGTGTGTGTGTGTGTGTGTGTGTGTGTGTGTGTGTGTGTGTGTGTGTGTGTGTGTTTGTAGGTGGTTGTACTACTTTAAAGTGAGGCTGCCCTAACAAATTACCACAAACTGGGTTGCACACAGCAACAGAAGTGCATCCTCTAATATTTGCAGAGGCCAGAAATCCAAAATCAAGTCATCAGGGTTGGTTCCTTCTGGAGATTCTGAAGGAGAAGCTATTCATGCCTGGCTCCTAGCTTCTGACAGTTACCAGTAAATCTTAGTGTCCTCTGACTTGTAGACACTTCACTCCGATCTCTGCCTCTGTCTTCACATCACCTACTTCTCTGTGTCTCTGTGTTTTTATGTCTCAAATATCTCTCTCCTTTCTATTACTGGGACACCAATCTTGGATTTAGGGTCCACCTACATCCACAATGATCTTATCTCAAGATCCTTAATTACATCTGCAAAGATCGTATTTCCAAATAAGGACACTTTCACAGGTACCAATGGTTAGCACTTGAACAAGTCTTTGAGGGAGACACAATTTAATCCACTTCAGTGGTTTTCCATCCCCTTCTTCCACAAGCAGTTCTTCTCTCAGATCTAGTGCTAACCAGATGCAGGCTTGCACAAGGACTCAAATCACCTTCCCAAGCAGAGATTCGCTTGCTTATCTCCATGATATCCCAAACTACGCATGACTCTTTTACCCAGTTGCTTCTTCCTGTTATAGACTTCAGACCCTGAACCATTTTAACTCCTTTATATTCCGTTAGTCACCAGTATTTTTAAGTGCTTTCTAATATTAGGCATGATTCTTTCCTTGGAGCCAGACCCAATTTTTATTTTTTAAAAGGAAGCAATGAGACAGAAATCTTGGAACACTATGAGAGCATTCAGAGAGTTTCTCTACTGCTCTTTCTTAACTATTTAATTGGAAAAATATTAATATACAGATAGTGCCTGACCTGGTTTCAGCCATGTGACTATGACATTTCTTCTTTTCTCAGATGTGTGAGGACCTATAGATGCTTCCTGCCACCTTTTGTGGAAAGGGGCAGCTACAGACACTGGGAAACTATGGTTCAAGGGAAGAAAGATGCCCTAACCCCACTCCCAACTCACTAGGGGTAGAAGCAGTTGATGGAGTAAGATCCAGCATAACATAATTCCATTATCTCACTTGAGGTGGGTTTAACAGGCAGGTTGGCTCTGTTCTCTGTAGCAACTCTATATTTAGCAAGCTGGCACAATTTTTAGACAGATTTCTCACAAGAACTTGGCAAACATTCCATGTTTCCTTTACTGCAATATGCAGAATTTATATTTCTGACAAAATTGCTCACACATCTTAGTGTAACTTGCTTAGTAGTCACACTTTGTCAATTTTATTTTTTTCCCAAGCAAAAGGAGAAATGATTAATGATATGAAGTTGAGGGCTGGGAAAGGGAATTTGACCCAAGATCTCTCGGAATATCAAAGCCTGTCAAGTTTTCCTTTAAGGGGTCTGTCACACCTACACCTTCGCAGCCAGTCTCCCACCCATCTTTAAATCACAGCCACATTACCTCCCAGTAATTCTAGGATTAAAATACCCCAACTGCCCTCCCTGTTCTGGGATTCTACATTTCATTCTGCACCACTCTCTCGAGTTCATCTTCTAAAACATCAAGGTGGTTATAAATATTAGCATGGGGAAGGGGGAATGGTTCCCAGTGTCAAATATATTATTTTTTCTGTACTTTGCTTTATACTGGAAATATTCCTAAACTAAATATTTATAAATGAAGTTAATAAATATCATAGTGTGTCTGAAACATAATTTTAGAAGGCTAATGCCACTCTCACACATAATTAGAAGATTAAATCGATAAACAAGAACCTATTTATTTGAAATTTTTTTAAAACACAACTTATAGTTTCCCCACATTTTAAACTCCTTTGCTCAATATTTAAGGTTCTACAGCTTTACTTCCTCCTTTCATTATGATTTCATTTCTCGCCTCTTCCTTATACACACCATGGTATTCCTGGGTTATCAAAATAACAGCTACTTGTTGGGGAAACTGAGACTCAGAAATGTAAATAAGCTTTTTGCTCAAAATAACTCCACTGAGCAAAAAGCCTGTTTACATTTCTTAGCCTCAGTTTTCTCATCTGTAAAATGAGAAAAAAATATCACCCATCACATAGAATAGTTTTGAAGATTAAATAAGATACAGTATATAATTGAGTGCTGTTGGCACCCAACAAGTATCAGGACAGAAATTTGAACCCATGTTTGTTGACATCAGTCCACATTCTTAACCTAACCACAGTGCCTAGCACAATGGTAGCATTCAAAAACTGGTTGTTTTTATTAGACATCATCAGATATAATCACAATCTGTTCTGTTCTGTTCTGTCCTGCCTCCCTGCTTTGGAATGTCCTCTCCTGAGAAGTTTAATGATTCCTTTTTTTTTTTTTTTTTTTTTGGACAGAGTCCTGCTCTCTCACCCAAGGTGGAGTACAGTGGCATGATCTTGGCTCACTGCAACCTCCGCTTCCCAGGTTCAAGCAATTGTCATGCCTCAGCCTCCTGAGTAGCAGGGATTACAGATGTGCACCACCACTCCTGGCTAATTTTTGTATTTTCAGTAGAGACAGGGTTTCTCCATGTTGGCCAGGCTGGTCTCGAACTCCTGGCCTCATGTGATCCTCCCCCCTCAGCCTCCCAAAGTGGTAGGATTACAGGCATGAGCCACTGTGCCTGGCCCAGTGGCAGTGGTTCTGATGGCTGTCACTGCATGACAAGTTATCTCAAGACTTAAAACAACCATCTTATTACATTCACAAATTCTGTGCCAGAATTCCAGACAGAGCACAGTGGGTATGGTTTTTCTCTGCTCGATGATATTTAAGGCCTCAGCTGAAAAGACTTAAAAGCTGTGGGTGACTCAATGACTGGGGGATGGAATTATCTGAAAGTGCAACTAAATGTCCAGAATGGCTTCCTAACAAGGCTGTCCACTGACGATGCTCTCTGTCAGCTGGGGCTTAGCTGGAACTGTTGACTGTGGCACCCACTCATGGCCTCCTCAACATGGCTGTCTGAGAGTAATTGGTCTTCATGCATGGAGACTAACCTCCCCTAAAATGAGCACCCCAAAGAGAACCAGGCAGAAGCTGCACAGATTTTCTAACCTAGCCCCAAATATCATGAAGCATCATTCCCACTGTATTTTGTTGATTAATAGGGAGTCACTCAGGCCAGTCCAGTGCAAAGATGGAGGATATAAATCTGTCCTCTTGATTGGTGAGGTGTCCAAGAATTTGCTGACATGTTTTAAATTACTGTATTCGTATTGTACATAATGAAAGGACTATTTCAGTGAAAGGCTGAACACTTCTCCTGGAACCCAAATATTGGAAAGGTCATCTATATTGATGTCAAAGTCACCCATGGTAATGGCAGTATTTGGAAAAAAAAAAAAAGAAGTCTGCAAACCAGGTGCTGGAGACTTCAGAAAAGAGATGTGAAGGAGTTACTCCGGAGGATGGGGAATGTGGCAACAACATTCAGGAGTAGAGGACGTCTTAGCCAGATGGTAGTTATTATTAGGCATAATCAGGTATAATCACAATCTGTTTCCTCCTGCCTTCTCAAAGGAGGAGAGATTTTTTCTCATAATAGTAGAGAATTAATGGTCTACCGGGCAATAGGCATCTAGGATAATGACATCCTTACTTCTGATCCCTGTGACATTTGGAGAGTGGAGAATGACATGATTCTCTGAAAGGGCTACAAAAGAATCAGTGCCCTCTGAGGAGAGCTAGGGTGTAGGTTAGGCAAAGAGATGAGAGGTTTTTTTGTGATGGCATCCGAATTATTTACAATGGAAGCCACATTCCAGAAGTTCCAGTAAAGTGAGTAAGAAGGGAAGACAGCAATAGGAGGAAGAGTTACAGAAGATTAAAAAAAAAAAAAAGAAGTAAGCAATATTTCTGGTTGCAAATAAAGTAAAGCAAAAATAGAATTAAACCAAAAGGACATTTATCATTACATAACAAGAAATCTAGACAGAGGTTTGTCCTGGACTCCTCTGATTCTACCAATCTGTCATTTACCATGGTCAGCAATATCTCCCCTCATGGCACAAATATATCTGTCCCAGCTCCAAGTTTCATATCCTCAGACATCAGCATTTACCTTTGAAATGAAGTGAAAAAAAAAGCAATAAAGCTTTCTCATTTACCTATCTTTTTAAATCAGGAATGAAAACTTTCCCAGAAGCCTTAAGCTGACTTCCTCAGATCTTTGTGGGAGATACCATCGCACACCAGTCAAAACGGCTATTATTAAAAAGTCAAAAAATAACAGATGCTCAGAAGGTTGTGGAGAAAAGGGAACACTTATACACTGCTGGTGGGAATGTAAATTAGTTCAGCCATTGTGGAAAGCAGTTTGATGATTTCTCAAAGAACTTAAAACAGAATTACCATTTGACCCAGCAATCCCATTACTGGGCATATACCCAAAGGAATAGAAATCATTTTACCATAAACACGTGCACTTATATGTTTATCACAGCACTAGTCACAATAGCAAAGACATAGAATCAACCTAAATGCCCATCAGTGGCATTTAGGATATCAATGGATAAAGAAAATGTGATACATATAAAAAATGGAATACTATGCAGCCATAAAAAAGAATGAGATCATGTCCTTCACAGCAACATTAATGGAGCTGGAGGCCATTATCCAAAGTGAACTAATGCAGAAACAGAAAAACAAATACTGCATGTTCTCACTTAGAAGTGGCAGTTAAACTTTAACTGCACAGGGACACAAAGAAGGGGAACAACAGACAATGGGGCCTATTTAAGAGTCAGATGGTGGGAGGAGGGTGAGGATGAAAAAAACTATTTATCAGGTACTATGCTCACTACCTGGGTGATGAAATAATCTGTACAGCAAACCCCAGTGACATGCAATTTGCCCCTGTAGCAAACCTGCACATGTACCCCTGAACCTAAAAGTTAAAAAAAAAAAAAAAAAGAAAACCTCATTGGTACACTCTCATCTCTATATCAATCATTGACAAAGAGAAATGGGATAATCATGCCTTAAACCAATTATGACTCATCCCTTGGGCTGGGTACATTGCTAAACAAACAACAAAATCATGTCAGCAAGCAGAAACCAATGGCTGCTGGGAAGGTCAGCAACAATGTCAGTCACGTGGAGGGATGGAACATCAAGTAATCGGGAGATGGAAGTACTCAACAGGGCAGGAGACTTGAAGAGACCTCAGTCTACCTAACTATAAAAAGAAGAGTATTTTGGGAGGCTGAGGTAGGTGGCTCACCTGAGGTCAGGAGTTCGAGACCAGCCTGGCCAATATGGCAAAACCTCATCTCCACTAAAAATAAAAATAAAAAAAATTAGCCAAGTGTGGTAGCAGACATCTGTAATCCCAGCCACTCGGGAGGCTGAGGCAGGAGAATCACTTGAACTCAGAAGACAGAGGTTGCAGTGAGCTGAAATCACGCCACTGCACTCCAGCCTAAGCGAGAAAAGCGAAACTCCATCTTAAAAAAAAAAAGAAAGAAGAAGAGTATGACCTCACAAATCTTTAATGTCCCTCTACTGCTGAGGTCCTAATCTTCCACCCACAATATTTGTCACACTCATACTTTTTTTTTATTATGTCTATTTGTCCATAATTTATCTCCCTAACTAGATTACTGACATGGTAAAGGCAGGGATCTTGTGTGGTTTGTCTTTATAATCCACATGGTCAGTAAATATTTGAAGATGAAAGCGATGCCCCACACTCTTAAAACCTGTGTGATCTTTGCGAAACCAATCTGGTTCTCTCTCAGTAGCTCTCCAAAGTGAGAGATGAAAAGAAGAGGCAATCACTGTTTCTCTATTCATTGAGCACCCACCGTGTGCTCCCCACTATTGTGGAATCTGAGAAAAATGTAAGCGCCATTGGCATAAACAACTCTTAAAAAGAACAAGCGAGCACATGAAACCCCATGCAGCATCTTTAGCCAGGAGCAGCTGTGCTTTCTCTGCTATATTCCAGAGAGATGTACCTAGACAATGGCCTGGACACACTGAACAAAGATTTATTTTTCTCTCTGTGGGTTGAGTTGCAAAGAGCTAGTGGATGACTGGGAGAGGGTGACTGACAGAGAGAGCAGCAAAGGAAGTGGAGGGAAGCTGGGGAGTTTCTTGTTTGTGGTACAAAACAAACCATAAATTTAATTATCATTTAGATATAGCCATACTGTCATTATTCAAGGGATTTTTTAGTTATGGTTTCATGTTATTTAAAACCTGCTAGAGTTTCTTTCCAGTTGGCCAGCTTCCTATGAGACTCAAATAGACAAAAATGATCAGAGAGAGTAGATGCTTGTTACATAAGAGATTATATGTACTTTTAAATTTAACTCACAGTGTTTGAAACTTAATATTACAGTTTCTAAAATGTATAAGCACAGTTGGACAAAGAGATTATAGAACACTATGATCTTAAAGTTGGAAAGGACCTTAAAGATTATCGACTCCAACCTTCCCCCTAGTGTTCAGATCTTGTCTATAAACAACCTTAACACATCATCCAGTGAAACTTGAGCATCTCCAATGATGCAGAGTTCACCACATTTCAAAGCAGCCCATTCTATATGTGGGAACCCAGGATAACTAAAGAAGTCTTCCTTATGTTAAATACAGGTTACTCTGAAGTTCCCATCTAGTTGATCTGTGAGACTACTGAGCAAAGTTAATCTTTCTACCCCATGACAGTCCTTCAGCTTGGGAAAACAGTAACATAACTTTTCTGAATCTCCTTATGGTCCTGTTGATGAAAATGAATCCTTTCTGTATTCCTCTTAATGTACAATGCCCATAAATTGTTAAAATTTTTATATGAGGAAATGAGAGCAAATTTTCTCTTTTTCCCCTGAAATACTGCATACTTGTCATTGGTACATTGATGAAGTACAATTTGTGGCACAACTAAAATGCAACACTGTTTTGTCTCCTATATTCCCCTTAAAATGTGATCAGACAGGGTAAACTTTCTCTATATATAATTAAAAACCATGATACTTTTCTTGCTCTTAGATAATAGATATCCCTAAGATCAATTTTAGTCACACAGTTTAGTTCAGCAATTAAAATGCTCCATCCAAGTTACTAGTTAAAACTGTCAGTTTGATATAACATTATATCTTCTCCATTTCCTCAGCTCAAAGCTAAAGGCCACAGTACGAAAAGGGTAGATGTTGCATGTGTGTGGAAGGTGGTGGTAGTGGTGGTGTTGATGGTAGTTGGCTTCTTATCCGTTTCTTTGCTTGCTAGCTAATTTCTAACCTTTTCAGAGTTGGAGTGAGTAAGAGGAAAGAAAAAGTCTTGAATCATAACCTGACTTTACTCCCTCTGTGTTTGGTAGATGTTTAATGCTTTTTTTTTTCTTATGTGGGTACATTTGTATGCTTTTGTTGAGAATTTCATCAGTGGAGACTTGTTTTCTGAAAATCTTTTGACCCTACCACCTCTCTCTACTTCAGTTTGTTGTCTTGACTATTGTTGCTTGAGACCCTTCCACAGCCCTTAGAATTCAGCATTCTCTATGTTCCTGAGCTAAGACCCTTTCTGTCTTCTAGGTAGACAGATTCAAGATAACCTCACATCAACTCTCTCTCCTCTATGTCCCCCCGTTGTCTTAATAAACTTTGGGTGTGTCAAACGGTCTTATGCAGCCACCTCCAGCCCCAGGTATTAGTCAGACATCCACTTTCCTGACTCATAGTTGTAATGAGCACACTGAAGCTGTCCAAATGGCTTTATGGAAGCTCTGCTTGGTAGGCTGAAAATGAAGGTTATAGTTTTTGCCAAAGAAATTGTCTTCCCACTGTCTGCATTCTGATCTTGTTTGTAGTCATCTCTTTTGCAGTTATACATATATTGATTTGTGTGATCCTAACTTTTTGATCTATAACATCTATCATGTTGGAGTCCACCATCAAATGGCGGGAGGAAGACTTCATTCTTTTCTGCTGTTTTAGACTCATAAACATGTAGCACAAGATATTATTAGCCTTCATATTATTTCAGGCCAAATTGAATGTATTCTTCACTTATACCCCTGTGTCAGACTGCCAGAGTCCTCCAAAATCTGTTCTTCCTTCATTCCTAGTAAAAGAATTTTAGCTTGTACCATCACCTGCAGCTGGAAGATGCATTTGCCAGCCTCCCTTGCTGTTAAGTGTGACCCTGTTAATAAGTTCTCACCAGTAGAAGTGAGTTGAATTGAAGAGTGTCACTCCATGCATTTAAGAGGAAATCATGAGGTTTGATTCTACTTAAGATGCAGTAAGCATACCCCATACCCCATATTCCCCCACTTATTACAACTAAAAAGCCTGGACAAAATGCATAAAACAACTATCAGAGAACTCTGAAAAGTGCGTAAGAACAGAAGGACTGGATAGGAAGCTCAGGACTTAAAAGCAACCCAGCAATATTGTTATTGTTGTTGTTGACTTGTTGGTAACTCTGTTCTGTGTTGGCTTAGGTTCTAGGGCAGCTCAAAAATGGAACTGCAAAGAGGAAGCTCCAAGAGAAGCCTGTGTTCTCTGGCCAGATGGACCAAGAGCGGTCATTACTAAAAGTTATGCATGTGTTGAAAGCTCATAGAACTGTACACTCCAAAAAGTGAATTTTACTATATAGTAAAATTTAAGATAATTTTTAAAAGGAAAAAAGATTCTCCTTTGTTTTTGTACATTCTTCTTCCTACACCCTAGGACACTGACATGAAATTGAGTCATTTTTCCAAGCAAGCAAAGATAATATCCTAGTGGGTGGCCAAGAAATGGCACATGGAATACAACCGTCCCAGTAGTCTGATCTGCCATCTATGGGGTCTACTTTTTGTAGCAACTTTACCTCCACCTTCCTGAATGAAACTTCTAATGTTTTTCACATGGGCTCCTACTAAGCTATGTCTTTGCCATCTGACATGGGTGTAGGCAGCTGTTTAAACTTGGCAGGATCCTGCATACTCAGTCTTGTTAAAGGCAACTTGTCTTCCAAACCAATCTAGCTTGTACTGGATTCAGATTATGTCATCCAATATACTTGCTATTCTTCCCAACCAAATGTCGTCTGAAAATTAAATATTTATAAAGTCATTGGTAAACAATTTGTTGATTAAGACCAACGGGAGGTCCACAGAATACCAATGATCCCTACTTTGAAAAGGGAAAAATGGAGAATGTTCACCAAAACATGGAGAACTCATTAAAACTTTTTGAGGAGAATTTTTACCTAGGATAATAGCTGTCATCTTAATTGTTAAACAAGTCATTAATCCATCTAATTATGTCAAGTCTAGCTTATTTTTCCGCCATTTTATCCATGGGAAAATAATGGGAGGTTTTTCATCAGCGACTTGCTAAAATGCAAATATACTCTGTCTCTCACATTTCTCCGGCATTCTAGTTTTCAACAAGGCAAATAAGAAATTAATTTAGTCCAACACAACTTGTACCTAGTATATTTATATTTGATATTGGTGATAAACTTTTTCTAGTAGACAGAGACAGACTGTAATGATCAATTCTAAAATTGTGTTCAGGAGCAAGTGTACCTATCTGAGGTTTTCTGAATCTATAATTTACCCTGCTTTTTAAATCAGAATGACTTCTTTAAAATGTCCATACTGTTCTAGAACATCTTTTCTTCTCTTTGATTCCTCAACAATATGCAATAAAAGTTTGGTGAGCTGACTTACAAATTATCAACAACCATGAGAAATAATCTGCATTCAAGTGCAAAAAAAAAAAAGTGTCATTTGTGGCACCTCAGTTGTCTGCCTTTCAAACTCTTGTCCAGTATCCGGCTGAGGTTTCAGTTCCTTTATACCAGAGTTTATTTATTTCTTACCTCATTCATTCATTCAATACATATGTACTGAGAGCCTCCTATGTACCAAGTGTTGATGGAAATGTTGAAGATTCATCAGAAAACAGGAAGAAATCCTTCAAGGAGTTTACATTTAATCAAATAAAAATGTAGCATTATAGAGTGCCAGAGAGTGATAAGTTGTATGGAGGTAAATATTTTAGGGAAGAAAGAAAAAGAGGCTGGTGTGAGTGTGGATTAAAATTTTAAAAAGAAAGGTCATGAAGGAATTTGCTGATTCATTTGAACAAAGGATTGAAGGAGGTGAAGGAGCAAGCCATGCAGGTATTTATGGTAAGGAGGTTCCAAGCAAAGGGAGCAATAAGTACTAAATTCCCAAGACAGGAATGTGCCTGACATGTTGAATAAACAGTAAGAAGGACAGTGTTCCCAGAGTGGAATGAATGAGGGGAAGAGGACTAGGAGTTGAGGACAGAAGGTGATGAGCAGAAGACAAAATAGAAGAGGGTCTGTTGGAAGTTCTACATGTACTTTACCCACACTGGGAGCTTCTGAGCAAATTTAAGATATTATTGACAAAAAGTGTTACTCTGTCTCCCTTCTTGAGAAGTCTATGTTTTAATTTATTGATTTAGCAAATATTTATTGATCACCTACAATGTGCTAGATGCCATTGTAAGCACTATATTAAAACTCCCAGGAACCTTACAGTTTATTGGGAAATAAAGCCTTTAGTGTTCATTGTGGAGACTTTCATTTTTACTCTGAGAGAGAAGGCAAGCACTAGTTTGAGCAGAGTGGTGACTTTAGCTAACTTGGATTTTAAAAGGATCACACTGGGTGCCATGCTAAAAATAAATTATAATAGGACAGGAAGGAAAAAGGGAAAACAATTAGAAGGATGATATTGAAGTGATCCAGGCAAAAGATCAGCCAAGGTAACAGTGAAGAGACATTTTTAGATTCTAGGTGTATTTTAAAAGTAGAGCTCACAGGATGGATGAAGGAGTTGAAAGAAAGAAGAGTGCAGGATGGATCCCAGATTCCAAGTTTTGCCCTCTACCCCACCCTGGAGAGATCACAGAGTCACCATTTTTTCAGCTGAAGGCAGCAGTAGAGGGGAAGATTTGGAAAAAAAACAAAAAACAAAAAACACAGAAGTTTTGTTTTGAACATTTTAATTTTGAGAGGTTTATTATGAATCCCAGTGCAGATGATGAATAGGCAAGATTTGAGAAATGTCCAGACTGGAGATAAAAAATCTGGGCATTGTAAACATATAGATGGAAGCTAAAACCATGATGCTCTATGAGGTCACTTTAATCACCCAGCACGTTCTTCTTGCCCACTGCACAGATAAAACCAATTCACCAAGACAGTGGTATTGAAGTAGAGAAAGAGTTTAATGATCACAGGGCTAACCAGGCAGAAGAACAACAGTTTATTATCCAAATCGGCCTCCCTGCAAACTCAGAGGCTAGGGTTTTTAAGGATAATTTGGCAAGTGGCAAGCAGGGGGTTAGGGAATGGATGATGTTGACTGGTTAGAAGTGAAATCAAAGAGATGTGGAAAATGGTGGTCCTGTGCTAAGTCAGCCTCTGGGTGGGGGCCACAGGACTGATTAAATCATGAGTCATGGGTCTAGGTGAAATCAATCAGTTGTCAGAATGCAAAAGTCTGAAAAACATTTGAAAAGACTAATCTTAAGTTCTACAATAGGGATTTATCTTTAGAAGCAATTGGGGAAGTCACAAATCTTGTGACCTCTGGCCACATGACTCCCCAGCAGCACGGAATGATAGAAAAGCAAGCTAGGGATCAATGGCTCCTTATCATTTAACAATGCCTACATCTTCGCAGAATTCATGCCCCTTCCATAATCTTAAGTCTCATGGTCTGTCATTAGCTTAACAAAGGCAGTTTCAGTCCCTGAGAAAGGAGGGGATTAGTTTTAGGGAGGGACTCTTATCACCTTGCTTCCAGGGTAAACTACAAACTAAGTTACTTGCATGATTAGTTTGGCCTACTTCCAGGAAGGAATGAGGACACCCAGGCTGTGAGGCTAGAAGCAAGATGGAGTCAGCCATGCTAGACTTCTCTTATTGTCATCATCTTTGCAAAGGTGGTTTCATTACCAAGGAAGTGAATGAAAATAGGAATGAAAAGAGACTCAAACTCTGAGTCCTGGGAGACTTGAACACTTATAGTTTAAGGGAAAGGGGAAACCAGCAAAGAGGGCTGAGAAGAAGTTGTCAGGGAGGTAACAAAAAGAAGTAACCAGGAGAATAAGGAGTAATAGGAGCCAAGTAAAAAGGCATATGAAGTAGGACAGAGAGTTACCAAGAGTAACTCATAGGAAAAGTCAAACAAGGACCAAAGACTCAGTAACCAGAGGTTTCATGTGGCCCTCAACAGTTGTTATGGTGATGTGATGGTTGTGAAATTTTGATTGAAAGGAATTCCAAAAAGAATTGAAAGAGAGGGATTGGAGCAGCAAGAATAGACATCCCTTTCTGTCAACTTTGTTTTAAAGGGAGCAGAGAAATATAGGGAGATATGGGGCAAGTTAGGCTGTTTCTTTGTTTTTCAGCTTTTTAAGAAGAGAAAAATCGTATCTTTGCATGATAATGAAAATGATCCTGTAGAGCATGAAAAATGTGCGATTTTGGAGAGAAAACAAAACTTCCAGAATGGTGTCCTTGAGTTGGTGCAGTAATGGAATCTCATGGGCAACTGAAGAGCTTCACTTTAGATATCAACACAGCGAGGCTGTGTGCAGTTTCCAGCCCCTATTTTTTCGAAGTAAATCACTAAGCTCCTCCTCTTGTAATATTCTTTCAAGTCATATATGCTGCTGCTCTCTGTAAACAAGATTCATGGTTTTATTCCTTGCTCCTCCCCCTCATATATTGATTATGTGATCAGGTCACCTGACTTTTGGATAAGTGTGTAATCATTTGTATTTAATGAGCCACTTTATTATTCCAGGACTGTCCTAAGCTAAAAAAGGCCCCTGTACTCATAGAGCTTACCCTAACAGGCAAGGAGATACACAAACAAAGATGATTTCAAATGGTGATGAGGGAGTGACAAAACTGCCTTGGGGCAAGAGAAGGTGGGGGATCATTTAGAGTGAGGTGAGGGGTTAGGGAAAGCCTTAATCACTTAAACTGCAATCTTAATCTTGAGAAGGGACTCATTGTGAGTGGGAAACAGGGGTGGGGGATGGAGGAAAGGCAATGCAAGGGAAAAATGTAAAGAACAAAGAGAAATCCAGTTTACTTGGAATGTAGTGAGCAAGGAATAGGGTGAGGCTGGAGGAGGTCAGATTGTAAAAGGCTTGAGCTTTGTACTCCATGGAAGGAGATTAGATTTTGTGCTAAATGTCCTGGTATGGCATTCTTGAGCCATAAGCCTGACCCTTATTCACATTTTAAAGTGATAGTTCTGATCACTGTGTGGAGAATGGATCATAATGAAGAATGGAAGCAAAAGAAACAAGGAAAAGTTGGGAGGCTGAGGTGGGTGGATCGCTAGAAGTCAGGAGTTTGAGGCCACGCCGGCCAACATGGTGACCATCTCTACTAAAAGCACAAAAAAAAAATCCAGGTGTGGGGGTGCATGCCTGTAATCCCAGCTACTCAGGAAGCTGAGGAAGGAAAATTGCTTGAATCCAGGAGGCAAAGGTTGCAGTGAACTGAGATCACACCATTGCACTCCAGCCTGGGCAATAGAGCAAGACTCTGTCTCAAAAAAAAAAAAAAGAAGAAGAGAGAGAGAGAGAGAGAAAGAAAGAAAGAAAGAAAGAAAGAAAGAAAGAAAGAAAGAAAGAAAGAAAGAAAGAAAGAAAGAAAGAAAGGAAGGAAGGAAGGAAGGAAGGAAGGAAGGAAGGAAGGAAGGAAGGAAAGAAAGAAAGAAAGAAAGAAAGAAAGAAAGAAAGAGGGAAAAAAGGAAGGAAGGAAGGAAAGAAAGAAAGAAAGAAAGAAAGAAAGAAAGAAAGAAAAAGAAAGAGAGAGAAAGAAAAGGAAGGAAGGAAGGAGAGAAAAGGCCATGGCAGTTCTCCAGGCAAAAAAAAAATGGTAGGGCCTTGTTCAAGAACAGAGGCAGTGAAGATGGAGAGACATGGATGGATTTGTTTTCTATTTTAGAGGTTTTAACAGAATGCCGTGTTGATGAATTGGATATGAAGAATAAGAGAAAAAGGGGAATCAACAATGATTCCTAAACTTTTGTCCTGAGTCAGTAGGTTGAGTTGCTATTACAAGGATGGAAAAACAACACAGGGGAGATTGGCTTGAGGAACAGTAAAACCTTCAATTCCATTTTGGACTTAATTTGGAAATACCTATCAAACATTCAAGTGGAAATTGTTACTGGGAATTGGCCATACTAAGGATGGCTGACACTTTTATGGCATTAACAATGAACTAGGCATGGTTCTAAGCACTTTACAAACATCTCAGCCTAGAATACACTTAAATGATTGGGACTAGGTGAGCTCACTTATGAAGAAGAGACAGATAGGGAAGGAACCTCATGAATAAGCCTTGAACACATCAGCATTTAAAGGTCAGTTAGATGCCCTTCTTCTCCAAATCCCTAGGTAAAAGTCTCTGGTTACAGGCTTTTACATACTAGATCAGAATTGTAAATTTTATTTGTTGACAACATCTGCACAGACAGCTGCTTACCTCCCATCTCTTAGTTTGTCTTCCAAAGTCCCAGGCATCAGTGAAAGGAATTCATGTAAATGCCAGCTGTATATATAAGCCTTTCTGTTTTCTGTCTAAAAAATGATTGTCTCTAAGGATGCCTTCCCCTTAGAAGCAACCTTAGTCTTAGGTTGCTATTTATCTCTATATAAACCTCCATCAGAACTCTATTTTCTAGTAAGCAACCTGCTCAATTGAATCCTAGTACTGATATATATATAATTCATGTTTCCTCCACTTGGGAAGTACAGAGAGGAGGTTGTGAATTCCCCTTAGAGGCAAAGTCTATAACCAGCACCATCAGTCCCAAGGGAGACTGAGTTAGGGAGGCTTAGTGGCCAGCTCTGGGCATGCAATCACTATTCTGGGGAAAACAACCAGTTTCCTTATTACTGATGGATCAGCAGTCACATCTAAATAGAAAAACATCCTCTACAAATTTCAGTGAATTGCATTCTTAGGACTCATTTAATAGCACTTACCTGACCCATTCTTAATGATGTGGTCCAAGTGCTTAAATGTTAGGGTGCATTATCTTTTTTTCACTATTTTATTATTTGGAGAGATCAGGCTTGGATTCTATTTATGACCAGCTCCAAGAGGCTTAAAAGGGGTTTTGATTCCAAAGTATGTACATAAATCATGTTGTGTTGTGTTTTTTTTGGAGATGATGAAAAGCCAATATTTTTCTTTTATGTTTCAATACTTTACAAAAGTCCTTCTGAAATTTCTTAAATAGCAGTTCTTATTAATTACAAGTCAAGGCTTAAGAAGGTTTAAAGAAGAGGAACCACAACAATTGTATTGGTGGCAATACTCGATGTCTTATTTCTTATTTTGTGTTCCCTTGCTTTGCATGTGAACTCTCTCTCTCATCGTTTCCAATTTACAATTCTTGTCTTATGACATTTCTCTCTCTGATAGCATCATTTCTAACCTCTTCCCTGGGGTTGTCCTGCTGGCTTCTTACCATGGCATCCAGGATGTATCCAACAGGGAAATCAGACTGAAAATGAATCTGCAAGCAAGCCTTTGGTTCGTCAAGGAGATAATATGAGTCAGAAAATGTCTCATCTAATTCTCTGGATTCTGCCTTATAATTGGCCTTAAAATATTGAACCCCTGATTTTAAATCAGAACCTGAAATGAATACAAGATGTAGATATTTAAATGGAAATCTTTAGGGGTTTTTCTCTTCCATATAAAATTAATATCTTGATTTTCTGCCAGTTTGTATATAGATTTCAGATATGCTGATGAATTGGCTTTTTATAAAAGGACTACGGGAATAAACTACTGTGGTATGTTTTTATTTTGGGAAACAGCTTCCAATTAGAAAACTGCTTTATTATTATATACATAATATGTCATAAATTAGATTTGTACAATGGTCTCTTGTCCTAAATATTTTGCAAACCCTTCTTTTTTTTTTTTTTTTTTTGCAAACCTCTATTTTTAGGTAGAAATATAATATGCAGAGCTACAACATTTCATGGAAAAGCAACTGATCCTCGTGGGTCAAGTATTTTAACATCTTAAGTAAATGTAAATTTTTAAAACAGATGTAGGAAGATATGCTGGTATAGTTGCATGTTGGTAACTATGAAAGCCCTCAAGGATATAAACCCTCTGTTTTGAAGGAACTATTCAGGATTTGTGGACAGCTGGAGGCAAAGGTCTATGGATGAACATGGACTGTTTTCACCAATACTCAAACTTATCAGACAGGGCAAATACAGGGAAGATTGGATGTAATTTCATATGAAGGGGGGATAGGATTGGCACCAATGAAGAAGGAAACACCTATAGAGAAAACTACTAGGAAACTTTATAATATTCTCATTTTCAACCTAATTCATTAATTCCATTTTCCTAATAGTCTGCCACATGATTTCTAAAACCCATGTGCTGGGTTTTTTGAATAAGAAATTTAACATAAAAATAGCGCTGATAGCCTGTTCTGAATCTCCTAAGAAAAATACTGGCATCCCTTCTTGCAGCTTACCAGGAAGGGGAAGATAATTATTCTGACCCCAGAGGCCTTCCTGGTCCCTGACTCCCTACAAGGGTAGAGCTTTCCTAGCTCTCTCAACTTCTCCTTTATCATACTTGCAATGGATTCATCATTTACCACTTTTTGTTCAGTGGACATCTTCTCCACTAAACTATTTCAGGAATTCAGGAACCACATCTGTCTTCTTCACTTCCCTTATGTGAGAATACTGTACAGCATCTAGTCAGTTTTCAAGAAATACTTGCTGAATGAGAAGAAGGAGCTTGCCTTGAATAGCCACAGACACCAAAAGCTGGGAAGCTGAGAATGGAGCCAGGTGAGATTGGAGCCATGTGAGAATGGAGCCATGAGAGAATAGAGCCTTGTGAGAATGTATCCTTGTGAGAATTGAGCCAGGTGAGAAGGGAACCATGTGAGAATGGAGCCTTGTGAGAATGGAGCCATGTGAGAATGGAGCCACATGAGAAGGGATCCTTGTGAGAATCGAGCCATGTGAGAATGGAGCCAGGTGAGAATGGAGCCAGGTGAGAATGGAGCCATGTGAGAATAGAGATTTGTGAGAATGAAGCCAGGTGAGAATGGAGCCATGTGAGAATAGAGCTTTGTGAGAATGGAGCCAGGTGAGAATAGAGCCATGTGAGAATGGATCCTTGTGAGAATGGAGCCATGTGAGAATAGAGCCTTGTGAGAATGGAGCCATGTGAAAATAGAGCCTTGTGAGGAATGGAGCCTTGTGAGAATAGAGCTTTGTGGGAATGGAGCCAGGTGAGAATGGAGCCAGGTGAGAAAAGAGCCCTGTGAGAATGGATCCTTGTGAGAATGGAGCCATGTGAGAATGGATCCTTGTGAGAATGGAGCCAGGTGAGAATAGAGCCTTGTGAGAATGGAGCCAGGTGAGAATGGAGCCTTGTGAGAATACATCCATGTTAGAATGGAGTCACATCATTAACAACATCAATAACACCAGTGACTTTCTATTAAATGCTCACTATGAGCACTGTTGCAGAACAATGAGGACCACAGGCCCTGCAGTTCATCTGCCTGAGTGTGAAACTGATTACTACCTGGCCATGTGATCTTGAGCATATCCTTTAAACTCTGAGTGTATGTGAGTATGTCTGTTTTCCTATTAATAAAATGAGGATTCTAAATGTAATTTTACTTCTTAGGGCCATTGTGAGAGTTAACTGAAGGAATCCCAAGGAAGAGTTTAGCACAGCATTGGGCCTTCAGTGGGCAGTGCATGTTAAACACTGGGCTGCAGCTCAGAGAACTCCTTACAGAAATGCTGTAGAGTAGGTGGTATTATCCCCATGTTGCAGAAAACAGAGTTGAAGCTCTGCAGGCCCAGTCTCTTGCCCTAGGTCACTTAGTGGTAGATCATGGAGCTGGGATTACACTAGAGTGTGCCTGTCTCTCAAAGTAGAATCTTTGCATTATGCTTCACTGGCTCGGAGACAGGCACTCACCAACTCCTAACTACTACCATAGTTCTGCCCCATTAAAAAGTCAGATCAGATCCTTCAGCTGGTGAGAGTGAGGCGTAGCCGCACAGCAGGAATGGATCCATGGTTGAAAGGTAAAATCTGTCATGAGGCTGTCTCACCAGCAAATAGGGGATAAGGCAACAGAAACCCTTCTTTGCTGCTAAGGTGGTCAGTAGGAGCTCCTCATCCAGCCAGGGAGGACTCTTCCAAAAAATTTTGCCCCCTTCTTTCCAGCCTCTAGAACTGGCTAGGGACCAAAAAGGTGCCAATTAACTAATAAGTGACTTAAAAATCAATAAGCTTTAGTTGAAGTCATTAAAATAGGTACAGAAAAGTCTGAAAGGCTGTTATCCCCCACTGAATTAGGGGAAAGGCTAGAGTAAATTAGTGAAAAGTTTTAGAAACATAGAATATACATTTACATACAGTTGAAACATTTGGCAAGATATCTCATGGTTCAAAGGTGTACAAAAAATAAGGGACCAACAAAAGATGATAAAACACTCAGGGACATGAAACAGCAAGAAGCCAGGACCACAATGGCTTAAAGGGGTGGGAAGAGGGGAGTGGGAAACAATGGCATAATAAAAACCAAGAGACATAAGAGAGGGGATATCCAACAGGAGCTTGGCTGCAGAGGAGCAAAACCACCGCCACCTGCACAGCAATACAAGATAGGAGCAAGGGGGAAATATCCAGACCTCTCTAACCTCCTCCCTTCACTATCCCACCAGTGCCTCCCATTGGCCCAATCCAACCAGAAGCCAAAGGGCAAGACAGCCTGGGTGATGGAATCTATAGAGGTCAACTTCTGTAAATTTAAAAAAAGGTTAAGAATGGATCCAAGGGTGGAGAGGGACTATAAGAGTAATCAGCCTAAGATGTTGTGATAATACATGTTAAAGGAAAACAAAACAGGATAATGGAAGAGGTAGTGCTGAAGTTGGGGGAGAAGGAATAGCTATTGTTTTATAGAGGTGATAAGAAAGAGCCTCAAGCTAGGAGGATAGCTTGAGCCCAGGAGTTCAAGACCAGCCTGGGCAACATAGTGAGACTCCATCTCTACAAAAAAAGGGGGGCCCTCAATGATAATATGGCATTGGACAGACACTTCATGAAAAGGAGCAGACCAGACTGGAAGATTCCTGGGGCAGAAGCAAGACACCCTGCTTCTTAATCAACAGCCATATTGCTGTTCGGTAGACACAGCAAGAAAGCTGGTGATTGAGAAGCAAGGTACACAAAGGAAAAATAGGAGGAGATGAAATTAGTCAGGGAGTAGAGGGCCAGAGCTTCAAAAAATTATAGGACATTACACTTTTCCTTTGAGAACTTTTCTTCCAACTTAGTTGAGAAGCCTTGTGAGAGTTTTGAACAGAAGAGTTACAAAATCTCGTTCACATAAAAAAAAAATCCCTATGGCTGCTGTCTTAAGGTTAGACTATTGATGAGAGAGGGAAGAAGCAAGGAAAACAGGCAGGATGATAGTGCAATAAGCCAGGTGAGAAATGATGTTGGCACTAAACAGGTGAACAGTGATGGAACTGAAAGGTCTAGAACATGGGATGTATTTGAAGCTAATTTGACAAGACTTAGATGAATAGGATGTAGAGTGATATAGAGAAGATTAAAAGAAGAATCAGATTCTGAAAGGAGTACTCAAGAATGGCAGTACTATACTAGGGTGGGTGATCAAGAAGCAGGAGTTTAGTTTTGAACATATTAAGATTGAGGTTACTCTTGGACAATCAATGTTATATAAGCAGTTAGATATAAGGAGTCTGTAATACATGGGAAAGACTGGCTAGTAAAATAAATTTGGGAGTGAACAGTGAACAATAGTGGGATGGACTGCAAAATGTGGCCACAAGTTCTCTGCATTTTGTCCCATTAATAGATGAGGTCAATTTCCATACACTTTGAATCTGAGCTAGACTTGTGACTTGCTCTGACCAATAGAATGCAATAGAATGGAACAGAAGTTTTATGCAAGTTCCAAGACAAAGCTTCAAGAGGCCTGGCTGTTTCCATTCCTGTGATGGAAATTCTTGCAACACCATGAAAACAGGTCTGGGTTAGCCTGCTGGAGAATGAGAAATCAGATGGAGAGGGCTCCAGCCACTTAGTGATCCTAGCCGAGGCTCAAGACATGTGAGCAAGCCCAGCTGAGAAGAGCTGAGCTTGAACAGACCAGAAAACCACCCAGCTGAGCTCAGCCTAAATGGCAACCCACAGAATTGTGAACTAAATAAAATGATAGTTATTTTATGCTACTAAGTCTGGGAATGGTTTGTTACCAGCAACAGACCACCAATACAATTGATATTTAATGTCTTGAGACTGGATGAAATATACCAGAGAACTGGTACTCAACCTTGTGTGCTATATTAGCTTTTTATTGCACAGCAACAACTACCAATAATTTGGTGGCTTAAAACAACACATATTTATTAACTCATAGTTTCTGTGAGTTGGAAGTTCAGGGATAGCTTAGCTGGGTTCTCTGCTCAGAACCTCATAAAACTAGAATCAAGGTGTCAGCTGGGCTGTGTTCTCATCTGGAGGCTTGATTGGGAAATAACCTATTTTCAAGCTCAATCATGGCTGCCAAAGGCCCTGACATTTTGCTGCCTGTCAGCTGGAAGCTGCTTAGGTCTTCAAGGTTGTTTACAGTTTCTAGAAACCATCCACAGTTTCTAGAGAACAACCCCACCTCATTGGACTCCCTAACATGACCACTTACTTCAACAAGCCAACAAAGATAGCCTCTTGCTTTAGTTTGCTAAGATAGTGTCACATATAACATAATGCAGTCACAAGAGTGAAAGAGTAACATCCTGTCACCCTTACCATATAATGCAATCTAATCATGGGAATGGTATCTCACTATCTTTGCCATATCCTATTGGATATAAGTAAGTCACATGTATCTTCTGCCATCAGGGAGAGGGTATATTATAAGGATGTGGATACCAGGAGATGGAGACCTTGGCGGGGGCCCAGAGTCCATTTGTCACAGTTTTGCATTGAAGTCACCTGGGGAGTTTTTAAACATACTAGTACTGGATTCTGATTTAATTCATTGTTTTAGATGGAGCCTAGATATCATGATTTTTCAAAGCTCTCTAGGGAATAAGTCAGTTAATGTGCATGTGGATCACCCAGTGATCTTATTAAAAGTCATGCTCAGGTTCAGTAAGTTTGGGATAGGGCCTGAGATCCTGTGTTTACCAGAAGCTCCCATCTGATGCTGAGACTGCAGGTTCCATAGACTGCAAAAGTGAAAGATATGAAATAGACATCCAAGGACTGAGGTACAGAGCACCCCAGTGTTATGAGGCTGGGGAAATAAGAGAGACTTAGCAAAGGAGATTGAAAAGAGATAATTAGTAAGAGAGGAGGAGAAGCAGGAGAGTAGCATCCTGAAACCTACGTGAAGAATATGTTTCTTCGTGTTTGTCAAATGATCCTCATGGTCAAGTAAGACAAGAACTGAAAAATAACCACTGGATTAGGAACTATGGTGGTCATTAGTGATTCTGAAAAGAGTAGTTATAGTGGAGTGGTGAAAGCAAAGTCTGGTAGGATTGGGTTCAGAAGGGAATCAAAAGATGGAAACTGAAGAAGTGAATGTAATTAATTTTTTCAAGAAACTGTTGTGTAAAAGGGAACAGAGAAATAGTAATAGCTGGAGAGCAAACAGGCTTAAGGGAGGATTTTGTTTTTTCTTTTTTTTTAAGAGGTAAAACAGATAATTTGTATGCTGATGGAAATTATCTAGTAGAAATGAGAAAATAGTGATGCTGAGAGGAGGCAGATTATGACTGGAACAATGAGGTTTGGTGAACAAAAGAGAATGTGATTTTGTGCATAGGAAGAGAGTCAGACTTAGATGGGAGCATTGACTATTCATCCATGATATCCAAAAGGAAGGCAGGGTGTCTGGATATAGATGTGGTTGGGTGGGAAGCTTAGATGGTGGAAGCATGTGCAAGGTATCTTCTGAATGCTTCTGTTTTCTCAGTGCCATAGCAAGCCTCAGGAGAGAGTGAAGGGAGGGAAAGGGTGTTTTAAGTATAAGGGATAAGAGATGGGGTGAAAGGGCCTTTTCAAGCTGTAATGTGCTTATAAATCCCCTGGGGATCTTGTTAAAATACAGATTCTGATTTAGGAAGCCTAGGGCAGAGCCTGAGATTCTGCATTTCAATAAGGCTCCAGGTAATGCAGATGCTATTGGTCCATGGACCACATTTTGAGTAGCAAATCTCTTGAACAGGGTTTCTCAATCTTGACACCCTTGATATTTTGAACTGGATGAGTACGTACTGTGTCCTACACATTGTAGGATGTTTAGCAGTATTCCTGGTCTCTACCCACTAGATGCCAGTAGCATCCCTTTTCCAGTTGTGACAATCCAAAATGTTCCATTCCTTGTCAAATATCCTCTGGGGAAGCAAAATTAGCCTTGGGAGAAGCACTGCTTTAGAAAGATATGAAAGTAAATCGATTAGGGAAATGTAGTCAGGGCAATGGGCAGCACAACAGACCTACTCAAAGCTTATGAATTTATGTCATTGTGATGCATTTTTTCCAGTGATGTTCACCTATGCAGGTGCAGGCATGGAGCAGATGACAACAAGATTTGACCAGAAGTGGATGTACTTCAGTTGAGTATGGCAGTGGGAACTGTAAGCTAGGAGCTAAGAGTGTAACTACTGGAGGATTTCAGGAAGGGTTATACTGAATGACTATGGTGAGGAGGAAAGTTAGAATATAAGAGTATGAGGATTACTGAAAATATCATGAGACCAACTGAGTATAGATCCTAGTTGGCTTGAAGAATTGTTGGAGTTGGGATCCTAACAGGAGAGAGCTAGAACAATGGTGGGCAGCAGTCAAGAATGAATGTCAGAAATAAAGATTAAGGAGTAGACGCCATGATTGGGAATGAAAAAACCAGGGCATGGCCATGATGATTGAGGTATGTTAGAAGACAAGACCAGTAGGGAAGAAGAAGTGAAAGAGCTAAAAGGCCAAACTTTGGGGATTATCTTCTATATAAATATTGAAAGCTCCAAAAATGTTGTCAGAAGAAGTATTTTTCCATAAAAAGTAATAAGTTAAAATCTTCAAGGAATGAATGAGAGTGTTTGGGCATTCTATTGATCCCAGCAATTAGGGGAAGAAGCAGGTGATATAGTGTGATGATACGCGTTGGGTCAAAGTAGGGTGTTTCTAAGGTGTAGGGAAGGCCAGTGGTGGTCTGGAAGCAGCAATGTGGAGCAAAAAGGATACTACCAGCACCACCCCCAGGCTCAGACGAGAAGTGATTCCTCAGAGGAGAGTCAGATCTCACTTAGGATGAAGGATTGAAGAGAGCATTCAGAATATACATTTTGGACTTCAGGGATATTATGAGCTTCAAATGGCATGAATAATAGATTTTGGATATTGAGAAAGAATGGGAGATGCAATCAGACACAGAGATATATGAGGGTGAGAATTTAAGGGACAGGGGCTGGGTAGCCTGGGAGTCTTGAGTTTTATAATGCCTGATGCAAACCACACAAATTATCATCCAAACTAGGGCATTCTGAGGTGAAAGGGAATGCCAATATTAGGTAAACCTGTATCTGTCATTTCCTTTTGGATAAAGATTATAATAGGGTTGATTCTGACAATCTCTTTGGCAGATTGTGATGGCGAGAACGTGAGCTTTGGGCGAAAATGCTGCCAAAGAGATGGGGGCATTCCAGGAACACAAAGTTATCTGCAACCCTAACTTTACTTTTGCCAGCTGCAGAGAGAAGCCAGGAGAGGGCTGATATTGCTGAGGACACCAGAGCTCTGAGCTGCCCACTTCAGCTATAAATTAGGAAAGACTGTAGAAGAGATTCTTATTTTTTTATTGTTAACTGTTTTCAGTGTAAAACTACTCAATGATGAGAGAAATGTTTTAAAAACAGTTTCAGTAAAATATTCAAAGTACTCACACAGGTCACACAACCCAAAAGCAGCAGGGACAGGCGAAAGTTTGTGGTTCCTGTCTACTGTTACAAGGGGGGAAAATACAGAATGAGGCCCTCTAGTGGCCAGAATGTTTCCAGGTAGCCAGCTACAGCATCACAGCATAACGGTACTGGAAAGAGATGTGAGCCATCATCTCATCCAGATGCTTGTTCCTGCTTAAGTAAATGCATGCATAAGGGTCAGGACTATAAACACCATGGGTGCAAAATAAAAGCTGCACTTAACTCTAAGTCTAGGGGTTGACTCTTACCCAAGAGATACTCTTGCTCTGGACACTGACACTGGATACCATCCCTCCCCTCACCCCCACCAACCAACAACCTCTCTCCAAACCCATGTGCAAAGTTTGGAGAGGAATATCTGGGGGCCAGGCCATTTGAAACCTTGTAGGTTAGGTTAAAGATCTGGGTCTCTATCTAAGAGCAATGGCAAGCTATTGAACTATTTCAAGCTGAGAGATGAGGAGAGAGGAGGCTTACTGTTATGTTCAAGTATGCAGTTAAGAAATATTGCTGTGTCTTCAGGGTATAGATGAATCTTTAGGGGCCAGGGAGGATTCATAAGTAGCTGTTATGAGGTTATTGTAGTAGTAAAGGTGAAAGGTAGGACTGGCATGAACTAGGGTAATGGAGGTGGTGGAAGTAGCAAGAAGTAAACAGATTCAGTGATAATAAAGAGTATATTCAGCAGGAGATGGCAGTGTATGAAGGACAAAGGAGTGGGAAATGTCAAGAAAGACACTAGGTTTGCAATGTGCAGTGTTCGCAGAAATAAACAACCCAGGAAGAAGACATAGGCTGGGGTGGGGTGAGGGCAGAGCATGAGTTTGACTGTGTATATATTTTGTTGGCATTGCTTTGATTCATACTATTAGAGATACTGAGTGGGAAATTGACTACACTGATTAGGAGCATAGAAGAGAGGCCTGGACTGGAGGTTGAATATAGTGAGTCATTTGCAGGTGACTGTGTATTTAATATCTCCTTAAGTAATACAGATGCTCCTCAACCTACAATGAGGTTATATCCCCCAAAACACATCATAAGTTGAAAATATAATACAACTAACCTACTGAACATCATAGCTTACCCTGGCCTACCTTAAATGTGATCGGAACACTTATATTAGCCTACAGTTGGGCAAAATCATCTAACACAAGGCATATTTTATAACAAAGTGATGAATATCGCATGTAATTCACTGAATACTCAAACTGAAAAACAGAATGGTTGTACAAGTACTCAAAGCACAGTTTCTACTGAATGCATTTCACTTTTGCACCATTGTAAAGTCAAAAAATCATAAGCTGAACCATTGTAAGTTGGGGATCATCTGTATTTATTTATTTTTTATTCATTTACTCACTCACTGATTTATCTTTGGCTCTCCTCAATAGACTCCCCTTCCTGATTGCACCCTGATCCCTTTTTGAGAAGCTTGTTGAGCTTTCCGCTATGGAAACAAAAGGGCTCAACCAGTTTCCCTCAGCTCAACACGGCCATGGGACCTTCTGTGGGAAGGGACTGCCATGGGACTGACCGTGACTTAAGCTTAGCCAGTGGGATACTCTGTGTCAGAGCTCACCCAGGACTCAAGATTGTAGATAAGGCCAGGTGGCTGTCACTCATTAGCCCAGAAGCAGCCCAGGTGGCCTTGAGTCCAGACTGTTCCTACTTCACAGCGTTTGCTGCAGTTCCTGATGCCCAGTCCCTGGTTCCTACCCATTATCCAAGCCTCCCGTTGAGTCTGCGAGCCCCCCACGTCTTCACATAATTACTTTTTTCTTTTTGGCTTAAATTGAACAGCGTCAGTTTCTTGAAATTAAAAACTCTAACTGATAGCTTTTCTATTTTCTATTTGTTTCTTTCCCTTTCCCCAATTTCCCTAACTTTCCCCTTTTTCTCTCCTGAGTCCTTCCTTCTGATGGGTTGTCACTCTACCACTGTCCTCTTTTCTGTGTTCTTTCTCTTTACCTTTTTCCTCCATATGTCTCTGCTTCCCCAGTTGGTCATTCTATCAAACTATTAATGCAGGGTGAAGAAGTAAAATAAACACACCAACTTCATAAAATCAACAGTTTAAATTTCAGACAAGTTGGAAGGAGAAGCTGAAACTGATGGGATGAAATTTAATTTAGATAAATGTAAGTTTCTGAGCTTAGGTTCTAAGATGCAGTATACACGATGAATGAGCAATGGCTTAACAGAAAATTCTAGTTAAAAAATAAAAAAAGAAAACCTTAAGTAGAATCTGTGGCGACAAAATACATGGGACATACTTAGGCTAAGTATCATTGTTATTTGGAATTTAAATTTAACTGGGTGTCCTATTTCTTTAGTGAATCTAGCAGCCCTCAAGGGAAGGCCCTTGAGGTTCTTTTGAGTTGGTTGAAAGCTCAGTGTAGGCCTGGAGACGTGGTTGACCTGAAAGCAAATCAATTGTGTAATATATAAATGGAAGGATGGTAACTAGGGGAAAGAAAAAGATCCCAGGATCCACTGACCTCAGTAGGGGAAGTCTGATCGCTTTATCCCTTTCCAGGGCCCACTCTTGGAGAGATACTGGTAAACTTGAACCCTCTCCACAGTGGAAAATGAAAATGGAAACCACATCTTAGGAGGGATAGCTGAAATAACCTGAGATGGGAAGGCCTCAGTGGATCACATAGCCAGAATCCCAGAACGACCCTGATTCCTGTGTTTTCTACTTAGCCTTGTTCTCCAGCCTTTTCTTCAATTCTATGAGCAGCCTAATATCTTACCAAGAAACTCCTTTTCTTCTTAGGGTGACCAGAATCCATGCCTATTTCTTGTGACCCAAAGATTTCAAATAATCTGATGGTTTTTTGCCAGTATGTAAATTCCTATCTTAGGTTCTAAGGTGCAGTATAGAAGATGAATGAGCAATGGTTTAACAGAAATTTCTAGTTAAAAATTTTTTAAAAACCTTAAGTAGTATTACCAGACAAAATACATGAGACATACTTAGGCTAAGTATCATTGCTTATTTGAGATTTAAATAGGGGATCTTTTGCAGAAGAGGATTTAGTCATATTTAGACAGCAAAGCTAAGATCTGAGGATGAAAATCAGATTTTCAGTCAACATGGAAAAGAACTTTCTAATAATCTGAACAATCCTGGCTTGCGAAAGGACCGTGGATTGGTGGGAGCCCAGTATTTGAAGAGGTTGAAGAAGAGGCAGGATGACCAGCAAATAGGAACAAGATTCCTGACCTAGCTGGGAAAAACAAACTGAATCAGATGCTTTATAACAGGTTTGTTGTTGTTGATGATGATGTTGATTTTTACCTTAAAGAACTTTGTTTAAATAAAATCTTAAATAGGAATTAAAAACAAAATATTCAAAAGCTGAGCAGTTATGGTGGGTGCAGATGGAGACCAAGCTTCTCCTGTTCATTCTTTCCCTAAACTTACAGTTGTTCCAGAATGGAAGCTAGGACTGTTGAAGCATAGTTTTAAAATGAGTGGACAAAAATAGCTAATATTTATGGAGAATTTTCAAAGTCTCAGACACTGCTAAGCACCTCTTATGTATTATCTTACTGAGTCCTCCCAAAACTGCAAGAAGTGCCATCATTAACCCCATTTTACAGATGAGGCAATGGAGGCACAGAGAGAGTAATTGACTTATTCAAGGTCACACAGCTAGTAGATGTTAGATCTAAGATTTAAATACAGGGGTCTGATTATCGAGCCTATCCCCTAACTGCTGTGCAATTTTGCCTCTAAGACCTTAGGACTAAACGAAGTTTGATTTCTAGTGTTTATCATTCCTGTTGGCGTCCGTGTTCCCCATCATTTATTTATCATCAGGTTAATTTAAGTTTTTCTAGGCTTTTCTAAAATAGCACCAAGTCAAATGATTTTAATTTGTTTTTCATGACCCTCAGTTCACAGCTTCCTCCTTTAACTGGTTTTCCTCAATTAGGACTCCTCTTTTAAAAAATAAACAACAGGCCAGGCGCAGTGGCTCACGCCTGTAATCCCAGCACTTTGGAAGGCCGAGACGGGTGGATCACAAGGTCAGGGGTTCGAGACCAGCCTGGCCAACTTAGTGAAACCCCGTCTCTACTAAAAATACAAAAATTAGGCAGTCGCGGTGGCGGGTGCCTGTAATCCCAGCTACTTGGGAGGCTGAGGCAGGAGAATCACTTGAATCTGGGAGGCAGAGGTTGCAGTGAGCCGAGATTGTGCCATTGCACTCCAGCCTGGGTGACAGAGCAAGAGTCAGTCTCAAAAATAAATGAATAAATAAAATAAAATAAAATTTAAAAACCATAGATTCACATCTCCCTGTAAACCAGTTACTTTAAGGTGTCAGCTGTTACAGTTGGCTGTAAAGACTGTGTTATCTGCTGGAGTCAAACTTCATTCCATCAGTTTGGTTCTCATTGTGTTTCTTCTATTTTTTCACAGCAAAACAAAGGGAGGAAAGGGGACTTGGTTTGTTTGTGAGGCTTTATTCGACCAAATGAAGATGGAGGTTTCTCTGGCAATGGCAGACTAGGGAGGCAGGCAGGCAGTGAAACAAAGCACCGGCATCCATAATTGCCTTGATGTTCGCTATGACCTTTCTTCCCTTCTGTGGCCAAGCATCAGACAGGTAGGTTGGAGCCAGCAGGAGCAGCCTGACCTAATCAAGTGCTGTCCCAGGCATCCCTAGGAACATCACCAGCTGTGGGTTCATGGGGGTCAGTGGTCAGTGTGAGCAGTGTTACTGTGACCTGTTCTCCTTGGCTCAGTGTGATCCTTGACTCTCATTCTGTCAACTCTAACCCACTGTTCTCTGTCTCTATAGACAGGTTTCTAGAGGTATAAGCCACTAGGACCAGGCTCTGAGTTGGGGGCCTGGGTTCAGGATGGAGAGGTATGGGGGGTAGCCTCCCCACCGCCACACTTCTGTGGCTCCCCTGTGGCCCTGCAAATCACCCCTATCCATCCACGACTCACCTCCTCACCAGCTCATCATCATCTCAGCTCTCTCTCTGTGAGGTGCCCACAAATACTGTTTGTCTAACATCACCTGTGAACTCCTGAAGCATAAGCCTTTATTTCATATTTTATAAAAAGCTGTGTAAGTTCAGCACTCCATAAACATAAAATGGTGAATAGCAAATTTCCCCCATACCGAAGCCATTTCATTTTCTTCAACAAAACAGCTCCTTTCACTTCCATACAGAAAGCCCAAAGAGGGAAATTTCTTCATTGCTCAGACAGCTACAAAATGTGATCACATTATTTCCCAACAGCTAATGTGCTCTTATGGATAAAATTTAAATTTGAAAGTCTGAGCAGATGGCCTATAAAGCTCTTGTTTTCCCTCTGAATTTAATTTCTTCCTGCTTATAGTGGGATTTTTAAAAAAAACATTTGGAAAGGAACAATAAAATGTTTGTATAAATTGTAATAATCATTATCTTGGTAATTGTTATCTCCTAAAGTTACCCCAGAAGAAAGATTAGAAGCTTGACACTGGGCCTGGAATCTTACCTCTCCTGTTGTATGCGTCTGTTCTCACACTGCTATAAAGAAATACCCAAGACTGGGTAATTTATAGAGAAAAGAGGTTTAATTGACTCACAGTTCTGCATGGCTGGGAGGCTTCAGGAAATTTACAGTCATGGCAGAAGGCACCTCTTCACAGGGCGGCAAGAGAGAGAATGAGTGCCAAGTGAAGGAAGAAGACCCTTATAAAACTAGCAGATCATGTGAAAACTCACTCACTATCATGAGAACAGCATGGGGGAAACATGCCCCCATGATTCATTCTTCACCTGGTGTTGCCCTTGACATGTGGGGATTATTATAATTCAAGGTAAGATTTGAGTGGGGACACAGAGCCAAACCATATCACCTGTCGTGTTCACAAGCTATAATTAATACCACCAAATCTTGCCAACTGGGCCCTGATCATTTTGGAGTCCATGTTCATTCTTACCTAAACTCTGCTGAAGTTCACCTTCTATTAAAAAACAAAAGATCAGGGGATGAAATGACCTAAGCAAATTAGCTGTACACAAGAATATAGATGAAATGTTAGGCTCTTTTAGAAAATATTATTTTCAAGGACTGTAAGAGCCATTTCATATCATCTCATTCGGATCCATTAATGAGCTAATTATCTTTTTACTAAAGGAGGCCCATAGGGCTTCAACTTAGAAATATTTAGTTGATCATCAGTTTGGGTGATTACATTTAACAAAATTGTGCTGTTTTCCAAACTACTTTATAATTCAGATTCTTTCCTAACTTAGCTAACACTTCCTAATATGAAGGAATCAGGATTGACTCAATGTAGTTTCTGATTTATATAAGGAAAATATCCCTGGTAACATGTATATATAGTGTTTTTCCTCCTTTTTATCCAGTCAGTTACTCCATTCAAAGGTATATATCTATAAGAAGGCTAAATAAGTTAACAAAATATAGATTGATATCACCTTTTAATCCCAATGCTATTCGCAAGTTGAATTCATTGACATCAGCCTGCTCTTAAAATTTGCAAGGCTCAGGGTTGAGAATATAAATGGAAGACCACCAACTATATGTTCATATATTTAAAAGTTATGTTTACTTTGAAAAATATACCTGTCGTATAGTCTTACCTTGGTCTGAAAAATTGAAGGTCAGGTTCAAATTTAAAGCCCTTGGCTCATCACAGTACTGTCTCTGAACATGGCTGCACAGGGTGCATCAGCGCCCAGCCTGCTACACACCCACCCTCTCTTCTCACCCCCAGCTCCATTCCACACTGCAAGGGACATCAGACACTCACAGAGCATGTCCCTCTTGGCTTACATTTCCAAGCTTCATTGCCACCTTGTCTCTCCTGCTTCTGCAAACAGCTGCCTCTTGGCCACCCTCCAGGTCTAAGAAAGCAAATGCTTGCCCCATAATCTTCCCTCGGGTGAACAGGGAAGAAGTCCTTCCCCTGACAGAGACTCATTCAGCCTCTGGAAGTGAGCTCATTGTCATTATAATAGGAAATCCTAGGGTCACAGGTATGAGATATATGATCTAGAAAGTACAAAACAGGGAGAGGTTTAGGTAGAATCTTACCTATGTGTCATGTCATGTTCATAGCCTTCTACTGAGTTAACAAAACTTTGAACTCTTTCCCCAAAAGCAGTGCTATAGCCACAAGTGGGCCAGGGGAGGGACTCCTCTAGGGGCAGAACTAGCTGTTGTCCTAGCAGTATGAACCAGCCCAACAGTACTTGTTCTACATACATTTACTAGGCACTGATAAATAGCATAAGCTGTATGTCATGCTAAGTGCCACGGAAAGACAAACACCTATGAGATGTATTGCCTGTGCCCACAGAGCTTACAGTCTGTTTGGGAAGATCACAAACACAAAAATAACTGTGCTACAGAGATAAAGTCCTAAGGGACAAAGAAGGGGTGCAAGTCAAGTCAATGGTTTATTCTTCCCAAAAAGTAGTTAGGGACTAAGAAATATTAAGTGAAGAAGTCTTCTTTAACCACTTTAATGAAATATTGTGCTACCTTTCTAAATCGGCCTTCATGATACTCCTTGGAGGAAGGTTAGTATTATCCTATGGAACACTCTGGAAATGAACAGGTTAAGATGTCGGCTTCCATCCCTGAGCAAATCTGATGCAGGCAAGATTCGAAGTAGAAAGGTTTAGCTCCCAGATCAGCACACTGTGTGCCAACCCATCTGCCCACATCAATGTCTATTTAAAAGTGAAATGAATCAGACTAGCTCCATCTTCACCTGTCTTACTGATCACCCATAGAAAGGGAGGGATGGAAAGCCCTCAAGTTAGACTGGAAAATTGAGCCTCTGTGCAATTTCTAGTCGTGTGTCTGCTTGGAGGCACGCAGCCAACAAAGCCATCAATCTGGCAGTTTCTTAACATTGACCCAATATATATTTGCTGGGCTATTTGAGCCATCTGCCATGCAAATGTCCATTAAGGAAACAGCATAAAGTGGGAATACTGGGGTTAAAATGCCATTTAGTAGGAAAACACCACTTTCAGCAGCAATTGTCCACAGGAGAACAAAGAGCTGGGAGAACCAAGGACAATAAAAAGAGAATAGAGGAGTAGGAGACCAAGGCTCCTAAACCTTTGCCTTCAGTCCAGGCTTGTTTCTTTATGGCACCTTCAGAGGCACAGGTCTTACTGACAAAGATTCCCTGTATGGTTTCACTGAGTTAAAATATGCATATATACATGTGTGTGTGCACTTAGATATATACACGCATACACGTGTATATATATGTGTGTGTATACATATATGTAAAAATGTATATTATATATGTGGGTAAAGAAGCTATGTTAGGGAGATAAAACTATGGGTGTTGTTTTCCTTCTTGAAAATACACACACACACACACACACACACATATATATATAGCTATACTACATATAAATTATATATAAAATTTGTTACATGCAATGTAATTATATGTTATATATAAAAATACAAAATTTTAAGGAGAAAAACAGTATTCATAATTCCATCCCCCTAACAAAGCTCCCCAACCCTCCTAAATATTATCTTCTGATGTTGGTCTATATGTGAGTAATATTTGTAACTATCTAGTGAGCCCTTACTATAATATGTTGGGTACTATATTACTTAATAATTGCATATTTCTCTAATATTTACATCAACACTAAAAGATTGATATTTCTTTCTAATTTTATAGATGCAACAAATAAGGCTCAAAGAAATAGTATTTTGATAGTTTCAAGGACATCCAGCTCATAAATGAAAGACTAAGACTTAAATCAGTTCATCTGCTTCTAATACCTATGTCTATCGCATTGCAGTCAACCCTCCATGTATATGCACTCTTTTATTCATGATTAACACAAAAATAAAAGCTATTTTGTGCTTAGCTTTGCTTAGTTAACAGAACATCATAAATGTTTATGTTTTTATATAGCTTTCATGGTTGTCACTTTTATTAGCTGGATAATAATCCATTTAATAATTTATATTAATTTATTAAACACTGTACTTTTTATTTTTTAACTTTTATTTTAAGTGTAGGGGTACATGTGCAGGTTTGTTACGTAGGTAAACTTGTATCATGGGGGTTTGTTGTGCAGATTATTTCATCACCCAGGAGTTAAGCCTAGTACCCGTTAGTTATTTTTTTTTATCCTCTCCCTCCTACCACCTTCCACCCTCCGATAGGCCCCTGTGTGTGTTGTACCCCTCTATAGGTCCATGTTAAACACTGTATTTAAATTTTCCCTCTCTCCCTACCTTTCTCTTTCTCTCTCATTCTCATCTTTGTTATTTCTCTCTCATGGTTAATAGTACAATGAACATGTTGGCATGTACAGTTTTTTGCTTCTGTTGTACTATTTCCTTAAGATACATTTCCAGGAGTGGACTACTGGATCAAGGGGTATGACCATGTTTATGGCACTTGGTACATATTTTCATACTGATTTTTAAAAGTATTCCATTCGAAGCATATGAGTGTTTCAACTAGGACAACCACACCAATACTGCATGTTTCATTAAAATTTCTTGTTGCTAATTTATTAAACTATAAATGGCACCTCAAGCTTCCTTTGATTTGTGATTTTTACTCCAAAGTGGTGATGGCTGTTTTCTCATCTACCTGTTTACTGCTCTGACATCTCATATAGCTGTTCTCTTTCCCTAGACCATCCCTTGAAAGGTGCTTTGTGTAAATACGTATGTACTCTTCATGCGGAGGAAATATTAACCCTTTTCCTTATTCTCCTATCCTTGAAGAAATGCCAGGAAAAAAAAGTTAACTTGACATATAAAATTTTAGCAACAAATCCTTCTACAGAACGAAGTCTAAAACTGAAATAATCAAGAGATTGAAGCATGAGCGAGCTATTTGGAAATATATAGGTAAATATAAAGAGAAACAGCTGAAAGATTTTAAAGTAGTAGCTTCTGGGGGGCATGCATGGTGGGGGACAGGGCACAAAGCTGCTCTTTTTCGTAAGTCTGACGTAACTATTTGACTTTCTACGTGGCAATTACAACTGACGAGAAAGATCAAATTAAATTTATAAATTTTTCTCCACAAATGAATTGGCAGATAACATAATGCTCTGTGTGTCTGCTTGAGAAAATATTCCAATTAAGCTTTCCTTTTTCAAAAATTAATATATGTTTTTCATCTCCTTCCCATTGCTCACAGCCATAGGATGCTAAAAGGAAGGGATAAAATCTGGCCACATTGTGTTCAAGGTTACTATTAGAGTCATGTCTTTCTGAATTCCAGATTCTCTTTATTTCCCTGTTTTAATGTATTTTGCATAGATTTAATTAGAGCTCCTACATTGCAGTGGGGATCCATAACAGGAGGGGGGCTCTGTCTCCAGAGAAAAACTGATGCTCATTAACAAAGAAATGGATCTCGAAATTAATTTTATTTATGAAACCCAAGATTCAAATACACAAGAGCAGTGGACTGTAACCCTACTCTCCTATAAGAGCAAATAAAAAATGACTGAGATGAATCATGTCCCCTAAAACCAAGCTTATTTACAATCTGAGACCACCTACATTGAATCTTCACTCTGTCACTTTTCAGGTGCCTGACTTTGGGTAAGTTATTTAACCTTTTTTGTCTCCGTTTTCTTATCTGTAAAATGGAAATAATAGCATTTGCCTCTTGTAGTTTTTGTAAAAATATCACGAGTAAATAACATTTAAAGGGCTAAGAACAACACCTGTCATACAATAAGAACTCAATAAATGTTTCTGATAAGTATTATCTTTGTTGTTATTCTCATTTTGGCAGTTTAAGTGTATAGGAAACATTGTCCATGATCATGTGGCATGGCATAGTTATGATTAGGGATCTTTATGGAATTAGAAGTCAGACATATTTAGATACTAACATTGGCTGTGCTGCTTATCAGCTAAACAACACTGGGTAAGACACTAATTTCCTCATTTGTACATTGAATCCTGATATCTGGTTCTTAATTTTGACTATGAAGATCAAAGATGACAATGTGTCTGAAATCTGCTCTTCCAGTTTTGGCATATATATATTATTATATATATTTATATATATATTATATATATTATAATATATATTATATAATATATATAATATACATTATATATATAATATATATATAATATACATTATATAATATATATATTATATATAAGATACATTATATAATATATATATTATATATAAGATACATTATATAATATATATATTATATATAAGATACATTATATATTATATATATTATATATATTATATATATATTATTATATATATTATATATATAATATATATAATATATTATATATATTATATATATAATATAATATATTATATATTATATATATTATATATAATATATATAATATATTATATATATTATATAACATATAATATATATTATAATATTTATATATATTATATATATAATATATATATTATTATTTATATATATTATATAAATAATATATTATTTATATATATTATATAAATAATATATTATTTATATAATATATTATATATAATATATTATTTATATAATATATTATATATAATATATATTATATATTATATAATATATATTTTATATATAATAATATATAATATATATATTGTATATATATTATATAAATTATATATTTTTTATAATATATATATAAATATATATATTATATAAATTATATATATAATATATATATATTTCAGAGGTGAACAAAGCAGGGCCATGGGAAGAATTAGAACAGTTACCTGAGATGAGCTGGGCGCAGTGGCTCACACCTGTAATCCCAACACTTTGGGAGGCCGCGGCGGGCGGATTACGAGGTCAGGAGGTCGAGACCATCCTGGCTAACACAATGAACCCTCATCTCTACTAAAAATACAAAAAATTAGCCGGGCGTGGTGGTGGACGCCTGTAGTCCCAGCTACTTGGGAGGCTGAGGCAGGAGAATGACGTGAACCCGGGAGGCAGAGCTTGCAGTGAGCTGAGATCGTGCCACTGCATTCCAGCCTGGGCAACAGAGCAAGACTCCGTCTCCAAAAAAAAAAAAAAAAGTTACCTGTGATGGTTGGAGCTGAACCAACTTCTCCTGTCTTAATAGCACCAATTGCAGGTGACTGGCGGAAGAGCAGTGGAGCAGAGAGGATATTGAACATGTGTTTGTTACTTAACCCACAGTCATTATTGAGCTGTGCTGTGCTAGGAGATAATCAGGTCACTTCCCTCAAGGATATTAAGAAACAAGAAACAAAGATAAACATAATTAGAATACTGTGTTCTAAGTACTAGAATAGAGCTATGCAGATGGCTGCAGAGAGGAGAGGTACCTAGGATGTGGAGAATCTGCTTGGAAGGGAGGTGTGTATCTATTGCTGTATAACAAATTGGTCCAAAACTTAGTAGCTTAAAACAGCACACGTATATTATCACATTGTTTCTGTGTGTCAGGAATCTGGGCACAGGTTAGCTCAGTCCTCTGTTTCACAGTTTCTTGTAAGGCTGCAACCAAGATGTGAGCATAAGTATGCAGTCTCATCTGAAAGCTCCACTGGGGACATATCCACTTTCAAGCTCTCATGGTAATTGGCAGAATACATTTTTTGTTGTGCTACTGGACTGAGAGTTGTAATTCCTCCCTGTTGGCTGAAGGCTGCCCTTTGTTCCTTGCCATGTGAACCTATCCAGCATGGCAGCTTGCTTCATCAAAGCATGCAAACCTAGAAGGCAGAAAAGGGAAACTGCTCATGAAATGAACACAATTGTTTGTAACCTTACCATGGACATGACATCCCATCACTTTTGCCAGTGCTTGAAAAATCACTAGGTTTAGCCTACTCTCAAGGTGAGGGGATTACCAAAGGGCATGAATACTAGGAGCAGGGACCATTAGGGGTCATCTTAGAAGTCAGTGGACTCTAAAAGGACTCATGAGCTGATTTTTAAAGCAGGAGAATGTCACGTCAGTCTACAGGGATGGAAAGTAGGAGGTCATGGAGGAGACAGGGCAAGCAAACAAGAAATGAGAAAAAAGATAAATAAGTTATCTCAAATCTTAAGGTATGTTATCTCTTGTAGAAAAAACTGGAAAAATGATAAGCTTCAAATAATCTAATGAAAAGGAGACAATTGATATAGATAAGGGAAGAATAGGGGTGAATTTTGAATGGAAAAACAAAGACCATTATATTCTTACCAGTGGAGTGGTTTGAAAGCCACACTGCTGATGAGGGTTATTTTCCTAAATTTACTTTGAATTGGTGAGTGGAAGAGAGGTCAGTGTGACAGAAGTGGGCAGCGCTCACATGGGAATGGCTGAGGGCAATATAGCTGTCAAAGTGTGTTTCCCTGGCTTTTTATTTTTAAATTATTTATTCAATAAATAGGCCCTCTTTTTAAACTGCATGGCCATTTAATTAATTAATTAATCACAATGTCAGTTATTATACTTTCCTGTATCTTTTTAGTTTTTACCATACCCCATGTTCTCACTTTGTTGTTTCCCTGATGTGATTACAAAGAAAAAGATTGCAAAGATTACTGCCATTATATTGAATATTTCAGCCTAGAACTTGACATTCTCACTGGTCCCCATTATGCCAGCCAAAGAAAGAAACAGTCAAAACATATTTGAAGTTACCGTAATGAGGAAAAATGATTGATAAGTACTCTCCACTGAATTTTTAGATTCAATTTGGTCACTCTCCTTTGCCTCAATGTCTGTAGCTATAAAACGGGAGTAAAATAACCTACCACCTCTATCTGTTAAAAGAGATAATGTAGTACAGGTGGTTTGAAAATTATAAATTTTACATATAATATATGAAAAAGTTATTCATTCCAAAAATGATCATGAGTGCACTGCACTAGTGTCTAATAGAACTGAGTCTGTCTGCTTGAGTGGCTCAAGGGTAGCGGGAATGAAAGACGTTTCAACACTTCCTTAGAATACAGTTTCTCAAGCATGATAATGAAGATTTATATAAAAGTGATTAAGGCTGTTACTAAATTTATCACATCTTATTTTAAATAGTTGCCCTATCATAGTAAAGTCACACAACAGCATTTTAAAATATTATTGAGTACCTAGTTTTGTTTGATGTGTAGTGTGGTAGTTAAGCACATGAACTCTGGAGACAGCCTGCCTGAGTTCAGACTCTGGCTCTGATAATAACTGTGTGAGCTTGGGCAAGTTGCTTAACCATCCTGTACCTCAGTTTCCTCTTTTGTAAAATATAGATAATAATAGTTCCTATATCATAGAGGTGTTGTGAGGATGAAACAAGTTAATACAAGTGAAGTTCTTAGAACAGTACTTGACACATAGTAAGCAAAAGTACAAATGTTTGCTTTTATAATATGGTCAAAGCACTGTGTCCAGACCAAAGGATGAAGCAATGAAAAAGAATATAGTCCCTTCCATCCAGTACCTTGGAGCTTGATGAATGAGTATCAAGATCCACTACACATCAAGTCACCTAGACCAGAAACCTGGAAGTTATCTTAGATACATCCCTTTTCCTGAATTCTACCGCTGTACTCCCAGCCCTCACAGTCGGTCACTGGGTCAGATCATGTACACTTTCCTGTCTGTTCCTTTCTCCCCGATCCCACGGCCCCTGGATTCATCCGGTAACTCATCTTCTGTCATCTGCATCAGTGTCCTTGGTCCCAATGTATCCTCCATGATGCTGGCAGTATGTCTGAGCACCCACACCTCTGATTCCAACCACTCCAGTGTTTTCTCACTGCCTCCTGGAACAACTACAAATTCCTTAGCAAGATCCTTTATGATCTGTTCCTTGCAGACCTCAACTTGCTTACAGGCAGTATGTATAATGGTTAAGGATAGACTCAAAAGCCAGACAATTTGAATCCAGCTCTACCATTGATAAGCTCTAGAATTTTCATCAAGTTACCTAACTTTGCTGGGCTCTTTTTCCTCATCTATTAATGGGGATAATATCTACCTCATAAGGCATTTGTAAGAATTAAATGATTGGACATATATGAAGTACTCTGGCATGGAGTAAGCATTATATGAATGTTAGCAACAATTATTATCTACCCAGTCTTGAATTATTTTCCCTTAATTCCACCATCCATTACAGCTATATAGAACATTGTTCATTCCCTACATACTCTCTTACTTATCTGTTCCTCTCTTTCCTCATATCATCCTATGTAGTGAACAGACCTAATGGGACCTTCAGTCAGTCCTTTATTCTGGTATTCATACCTTTGTGTAGTCCCCTCCCCATGGGTACAGGTGAGACCTGTGATTGCTTCTAACCAATAAGATATGTTAATGGTGATGAGGTGTCACTTACATGATTTTGTTACCTTATATAAAACTCTGTCTTGGCAGGTTAGAGATTCTCCTTGCTGGCTTGATAAAGTAAGAGACCATGTAGGGAAAGACCACATGGCAAGAAACTGGGCAGCCTCTAGGGACTGTGGCTGGCCTCTAGGACCTGAAAATTGACTCCATCTAATAGCCAGAAAAAATCTGAGGGCCTCAGACATACAACCACAAGGAAACAAAAGCTGCCAACAACTGAAATGAGCTTACAAATAAGTTCTTCCACAGTCAAACTTCCAGATGAGAATGTAGCCCACTTAACATGTTAAATATATCCTTGTGTGACCTTGAGCAGAGAATCCAGGTAACCCATGCCCAGACTCTTGACCCACAGAAACTATAAAATATAGGTATTTGTTGTTTAGCCTTCTACATTTGTGGTAATTTGTTACTACCCCCAGCTGTCTTCACTTGGTGAACTCCTACTCAACCTTCTGTTTGTGTTACATCCTCTGTGAAGCCTACCCTAATGCTCCTATGCACAGATGGGCTCTCCCTCCTGACACCCCAATTGCACCTCTTACACCTTTCCATAACAGAACTAGTTGCACTACATTGTTATTGTTTAAGTTTTAAGTCCATAAGAATAAAGCTGTATTTTATGCATCTTTGATTTCTCAGTTTCTAAAACATAGCGACAATTTTGCAGAGAAAAGAAAAGAGAGAAACTTAACAAAAAAGTAGGATATCAGGGCAACTAAAACTGCTCGATAAATGTTTGTTGATAAGTGAGTGAAAGTATTTTGATTATTTTCTTCTCTGCTCTGTTGAATTCTACAGAAATGCTTTCATTTCACTCTGATAGGCATCTCAAATATTGAGGCTATCATCATAATAGAAGATTGAATTATCACTAACTTGGATTGCCAACAAAAAATGAAAATAGCATTGAGAAAAGAACTACTACACTAATAGAAATATTTTTATTTACTTTTATGCCTGAAAGAAAGCTTGGGTAAAATAAGGTCTAACTATTAGATTAAGAAGTGATGCAAGCAATTTTTCAGTATGCCAAGTACTGGAAATGCATGCTTAAAAAGATCAGTTGATAGGAAGCATGGTAAAACTCAAACAACTTTGAAAACATCTCATTTAACTTTATTCAGTAGAAATAAATAATAGAAGAAGTGACAGTTTCCCAATTTCTCAAACTTTTTATAAAAAAATAATTTTTTAATATTTAATCTCTTTGAAGGAAAAGTAAAATAGTTAACTTGCCAGTTCTTTTTTTCTAGGGTAATTGTCACTTTGGAGTACATGGGTTAATTCATGAGAGGGCTTAAGTTGATTATCTATTCTTATTGTGTGAAATTATTGTTTACTCTGTGTGTGTGTGTGTTATATTGCATCCAAGAAGAAATAAAAACAGAAGAGGTCCACTGTAAAGAAAAAAAAGTATTAAACCTTGCCAAAGCATAATTTAACCACAGATAAAGTCTGAATTTTTTCCTAGTGTCTGCTTTCTGCAGGTCAGGGCCATTGCAGGCAGGCAGATGACAAACAATACAGCTGCTGAGATTGGAATGATGGATGGGTATATGGATGGACACATGCTGATAACTTTCAGTGACAGCAGCTGCCCTACAGTGTTAGGTTAGTTGCTGAGAGGAATAAAGTAAGTATTAACTTCTAACGATAACAGCTATTTCACATTGCATGTGTGTCCAGCAACTTCTCACTTAATCCACTGTTGCTTGAGGAGATATTTCAAATGTCAAACATGTAATGCCCAGTCCCCAGCACATGGTAAGGATACATTAATATTACTCAAACATAAATCTGAATGGCTGCTCTAAAACTGTTCCCTGCCTTTGGGAACTGAATGCTTGCCATTGGAATCGGCATTACCTACACTTATATTAATTTGGATGGCAAGCCGGCCTGGTAGGCTAAACACTGAAAGTTTAATGATGAGAGTTGAAAGAAAATCTGTTTTAAAACTTATGCTTGCACAATTCCCACACAATAATCTGTGAGAAAAAGCATACACATTAGATTTTATTATGGTCTTTTGGATTGAAGAAAAAAAAAGACAGTAAGTTGGTGGGGGAGAGGTGAAGTAACTAACAGTTTTAGCAGAGTAGCCAATGCACTATATTGCTCCAAGCTTTTGTTAGCCTCAGGGCTCTTTGATCTTGGGCCACCCTGTGTCTACTGCATAAGAATGGAGACTGCATTACTTTTCTATTGCTGCTGTAACAAATAACCACAAATTTAGTGGCTTAAAATGAAATACAGGAAGGGCATCAAGATGGCTGAATAGAGGCAGCTGGTACTCACCTCTCCCACAAAAAAGAATCAAAATAGCAAGTAGATAATCACACTTTGAATAGATCATCTAAGAGAGATCATTGGAATTCAACAGAGAAGTGGCAGGAAACACCTAAGGCAAGGAATGAAAGGGAAGGAGGCAGCCTACTCTCCCAGGAACAGCTGAGAGCCTGGCGAGGCTCCCCAGTGTGGGGAAAGGGGAGGTGAGAGACCCCTAGCAGCAGTCCATATTCCCACCATGGACTCTTGCAATTCTAGCCACAAGAAAGCTCTTTGAACCTCATGGACCCTGAGACTAACATAAGGAACTGCCTAGAGACCATGCAATAGCACTGTTCCAGAGAGGGAGCTCACACTGGGTCCCACACACCTCCTGAGTCTTAAGCAGCTATAACACGGCACCATTTTGAGAGCACAGCCCCCACCAGACTGCATCCTGCCCTGGGGTCCAATAGCCCCTTCATCTCCACATTCCTGGTGCCCCATGGATATCTGCCACCTGCAGCCACTGCTGCTCCTGGCTGCTGGGACCAGGGCCAATGTGCAAACCATTGGCAGTAACTTTGCTGTCCCCAGCAGTGGGGTTGGCACGCATTTACAAGTGCCCTGAGGACAGGCTATGCCACCTGCAGCTGACACATGGAACCAAAGCATACACACTCCCCAGCCACCTGCCTACAGCTGCTGCCACTGAAAGCAATCCCACCCCCACTATCATCAGGGCCAGAGTGCAGCTGCTGCAAAGCCCTCAGTCTGAGTATTCCCCTAGGGCCTGGGGATAACTGTGCCCCTATCTACCACAGTCAGCACCTGCACACACCAACTGAGGCCCTGAGAATGGGGCCACCTGGCCCAGCTTCACCCACCCCAGTGCCCAAGCACACCACTCAGGGACCTGGGGATGGTCCTGCCCTGTCCACCACTGTTGGCACCTGAGCACTCATTTTCGGGGTCTGAGGAAGGGCCCACACAATCTGCCACTACCACTACAGCTGACACTCATATGCTACCTGTGGGCCTGGGGACTGGCCTGCCGAGCTTATTATAGCCACTCCCAACACCAGTCCACACTGCTTGGAAGACAGACGGTTGTCCTGACACTGCTACTGCCATTATGTGTGTCACGCCCACTGCCCAAGAGCATGGGGACCCATCCACCTGCCCTGTCTACCACTGCCACTATCAACACACATGCGAGCCACCTAGAGGCCCAGGAATCAGCCTGCCTGGACCTGCCAACACCAGTGCCAGTGTATGACACCCAACAGCTATAAAATACACATTTTTCTCATCAGTAGATGAAATATTCTCTGGGATATACCATATGTCAGGACAGAAAACAGGTCTCAACCAATTTTTAAAAATTGAAATTATATCAAGTATCTTCTCAAGTACAATGGAATAAAACTAGAAAAATAAGGAAAACTAGAATAAAACTAGAAAATAAAAATAAAAACTTGGGAAACTATGAATAGATGGAAATTAAACAACAAGCTTCTTAGTGACCATTGGGTCAAGAAAGAAATTAAAGAGAGAATAAAAAAATTTCTTGAGGCAAATGAAATTTGAAACACAACATACCAAAACCTATGGGATACAGCAAAAGCACTGCTAAGAGTGAAATTAATAGCAATAAATGTCTACATCAAGAAAACTGAAAGACTTCAAATAAACAATCTATCATTGAAGTAGAAAAGCAAGAAAAAACAAAACTCAAATTATTAGGAGGAAAGAAATAATAATGATCAGAGCAGAACTAAATGAAATAGAGACTAAAAATAAAAATACAAAGCAACAATGAAATGAAAAGTTGATTTTATGAAACAATAAGCAAAATCTATAAATCACTGGCTAGATTACCAAGAAGAAAAGAAATAACACCCAGATAAGCCAAATCAGAAATAAAAAAGGAGTCATTACAATTGATACCACAGAAATACAAAGATAATCAGAGACTATTATAAGTAACCATTAACAAATTAGAAAACCTACAGGAAATTGATAAATTCCTGCACACATACAACATACTATGATCAAGTCAGGAAGGAACAGAAAACCTGAACAGACCAATAACTACAATAACTACTAATGAAATTGAATCAGTAATTTAGAAGTCTCCCAACAAAGAAAAATCCAGGATCTTATGGCATCACTGCCACCGCCACTGCCAAATTTTACCAAACAATTAAAGAACATTAATTCTCCTCAAACTATTCAAAACAATTGAAGAGGAGAGGATTCTTCCTAACTCATTCTACAAAGCCAGCATTACCCAGATTTCAAAACCAGACAAGAATGCAACAACAACAAAAAATAAAGATATAGGTCAATATCCCTGATGAATATATATGCAAAAATCTTCAACAAAATACTAGCAAACAGAATTCAACCCCACATGTAAAAGATAGTACACCATGATCAAGTGAGATTTATTCCAGGGATGCAAGAATGGTTCAACATACTAAAGTCAATAATGTGATTATTGTGATACATCACATCCAAAGAATAAAAGACAAAAACCATATTGTCATCTCAACAGATGCAGAAAAAGCATTTGACAACATTCTACATAACTTCCTGATAAAAGCTCTCAACAAACTAAGCATAAAAGGAATATACCTCAACATAGTAACGGCCATATATGCCAAACCCACAGCAAACATCATACTGAATGAGGAAATGTTGAAAGCCTTTCGTTTAAGAACTGGAACAAGACAAGAATGTCCACTTTCACCTCTCCTATTCGACATAGTACTGGAAGTTCTAACCAGAGCAATCAAACAGGAGAAGAAAATGAAAGCCATTCACCTTGGGAAAGAGGAAGTCATATCACTCCTCTTTGAAGATGACACAATTTTACATCTTGAAAACCCTCCAGCAAAAATCTCTTAGATCTAATAACTAAATTCAGTAAAGTTGCAGAATGCAAAAATCAACAAACAAAAATCAGTAGCATTTCTGTACTGTAATAATGAGCTAACTGAGAAAGAAATCAAGAAGGCAATCCCAATTCATAATAGCTGCCAGAAAACAACTAGGAATAAATTTAAATTTCGTTTAAGGAGATGAAAGGCCTCTACAGAAAAAAAAAAAAGACTAAACATGGGTAAAATAAATTGAAGAGAACACACACAAAGGGAAAGATATCCCATGCTCATGAATCAGAAGAATCAATATTGTTAAAATGACCACACCACCCAAAGCAATCTACCGGTTGAATGCAATCCTTATCAAAATACCAATGTCACTTTTGAACAGAAATGGAAAAAACAATCCTAAAATTTGTATGGAACCAAAAAAAGAGACCAAATAGCCAATGAAATTCTGAGTAAAAAGAATAAAGTTGGAAGCATCATACTGCCTGACTTCAAAATATATTATAAGGCTATCGTAACCAAAACAGCATGGTATTGGCAGAAAAACAGAAACATAAACCAATGGAACAGAATATAGAATCCAGCAATAAATCCACATATTTACAGTCAATTGATATTTGTCAAAGACACCAAGAACTTATACTGGGGAAAGAATACCTTCTTCAATAAAAGGTGCTAAAAAAAATTGGATTACCTATGCAGAAGAATGAAAACGGGATTTCTGTCTCTCACCATATACAAAAATCAACTCAAGATGAATTAAAGACTTGAATATAAGACCTAATACCATAAAACTATTAGAAGAAACCACAAGGGAAACATTTCAGGACAATCGTCAAGGCAAAGATTTTATGACTAAGACATCAAAAGCACAGACAATAAAATAAAAAATAGGCAAGTGGGACTATATAAAACCAAAATGCTTCTGTACAGCAAAGGAAACAATTAACAGAGTAAAGAGACAACCTGTTGAATGGGAGAAAACATTTCCAAATTATCCATCAGGCAAGTCTAACATCCAGAATATACAAAGAACTCAAACAACCGTTTTTTTAAAATCCCGTTAAAGAGTGAGCAAAGGGCATGAATAGACAATTCTCAAAAGAAGACATACAAATGGCCAACAGGCATATGAAAAAATGTTCAACATCACTAACCTTGAGGGAAATGCAAATCAAAACCACAATGAGATATCATCTTACTCCAGTTAGAATGAATCTTATTAAAAGGACAATAAATCACAAATGCTGGCAAGGCTGCAGAGGAAAGGGAACTCATTCACTATTGGTAGGAATAGAAGTCATTAATGCCAATAGGGAAAACAGTATCGAGATTTCTCAAAAAACTAAAAATAGAACTACTATATGATTCAACAATTCCACTACTGGGGATATATCCAAAGGAGAGAAGGTCAGTATATCAAAAGGATACGGGCACCTCCACATTTATTGTGGCACTATTCACAATAGCAAAGATATAGAATCAACCTAAGTGTCCATCAACAGACAAATAGATAAAGAAAATATGATATATATACAATGAAATACTATGCAGTACTAAAAGATGAAATCATGTCATTTGCAGCAACATGATGGGACTTGAGGACATTATGTTAATTGAAATAAGCCAGACACAGAAAGACAAATATTGCTTGTTTTCATTCATATACGGGAGCTAAAAGTCGATTTCATGGAAGTAGAAAGCAGAACTATAGTTCTCAGATGCTGGGAAGGATTGCAGTGGGGAATGAAGAGAAGTTGGTTAATAGATACAAACATATAGTTAGAAGGAATAAGTTTTAATTCTCCACAGCAGAATAGGGTGACTATAGTTAACAAAAATATATTGTATATTTCAAAATAGCTCAAAGACAGGATTTGAAATGTTCCCAGCACATAAACATAAAATGATAAATAAGGTTATAGATACCCTAAATACCCTAACTTGATTATTACACATTTTGTGAATATAACAAAATATCACATGTACCCCATTAATATGTATAAGTATAAATAAAGAAACAAACACATTTAATCCTTACAACTCTGGAGGAATTTTAAGAACTTCAAAATCAGTCTTATTAGACTGAAGTTAAGGTGTCAGCAGGGCTAGCTCTCTCTGGAAGCTCTGAGAGGAGAATCTTTTCTCTGCCTTTTTTCAGCTTGTAGTGGCCTCTTGCATTCTTTGAGTTTTGACCCCTTCTTCCATCTTCAAGACACATTACCCAATCTCTGCTTCCCTCATCACATTGTCTTCTGCTCTGATAAGGACCCTCATGATTGCATCAGGCCCACGCAGATAATCCAGGACAATCTGCTCCTCAGGATTCTTAAAGTGCAAAGCCTTTTTTGTCACGTAAGGTAACATCCCCAGGATCTGGGGCTTAGCACTTGGACATTTTGGTAGAACATTGTCCAGACTTTCATTGGGACTTAGCCACAAGTCTAGTTGACTGAATATTCAGCATTAAATAAAATGATGCAGATTTAGGATCGAGACCAAATGTTGAAATAACAAAATGCCCTTTCAAGCATAAATAAATATAGTACATTGCTTTGACGCCTTCAGCCAGTAGTTTCTCAACCTATCTTCCCTCCACAGGGAAAGGTAGCATGCCAGAACTTATTACAATAAAGATTGCATACTACCTATTCCCATGGTATGACATGGCTGAGACCACTGATTAAGCCCTCTTAGGGGCCCAAAGAATTTCCTGGAATCAGTAATTTACTAACTATATTCATGTGGTTATATGGATATCCGAGCACATGAACTTATTTCTGATTGTGCTTGACAAACTCAGAGGGAACTTACATTTATCAGCATAAAAATGTCCCCACATCATGCTTTCTCCTGACTAGCTTCATTTCCTTTCTCAAGCTCAGCCAACACAAAATACAGTCAGCTCCTGGGCTTTACATTATGTGATTGTGCACATCGGGCCTTATTGTTTCCAGTAGGTGAGTAAAAATTGGAAGCCAGGGGATGCTGCATTGCACTGAATATGATTCATTTCCCCCTGGTTTATTTGGCTCCCAATGTCATCAAAGACCAGTGTTCTGTTATACTTCCTATATTAGACAGGAACAGAGTTATCAGCTGGGAGCAGTTTGCCCTCCACCCCCATGATAAATCCAAGTAAAGTTTGACCTGCCAATCTTGTGCCCCATCAGGACATCCATGGGCAGAGGGTTTCTCGACTTAATTAGAATCTGTCTTAATGGGCTCACCAGGCCCTGGGAACCCAAAGATGCTCCTACACAGCAATTTTCTTTCTCTCCCTCTTCTTCTAGTTTGGCACAGCCTTGTCAACAGGTGTGATCAACAGTAAGGAAGCATGCAGTGCCAGTGCTCCCATTCTGGTCCAGGATGAGAACCCACGACTGAAAAGATGGTACTCACAGCCTCAGGCAAGCTGCCATGAGATTGTCATTCCTTGGCACTGGTGCCTGTGGCGAGCATCTTAGGCAACTTTTGATTGGGCACCATGCCCTCCAAACAGATGGGCATGAATGTAGGCAGGCAAGAGACCATTTATTTATATCAACTGTATTTGCTGAGGGCAGGGTTCCCAGCTGGGAACATCAAAACAGCTCTTTGTCCTGACCGTCTGCAGCTCTGATGGAGGTGATGCTGCCTTGCAAATTCAGCTGGATTAATTTTGAAAAATAAGAACAATGTTTCTATGGACACCAGGGGACATTCTTGGCTCCCTTCAATGGTTCTGAGCACAGAGCAGGCTGGGCCCAGGTCATTTTAATAAAATCTCCCATCCCTGTTTGGATTGGGTGGGAAAGAGCCAAGAAAGCTTTCCAAATTGGGCCAAGTTTAGGTGAACAGAGTTAGCCCCACATGGAAGCCAGTTTTGTGAGTTCTTTTATGCACAACGCCAAGTAGCTTCCAAAGAAAATTAAGCTGAAGTCACCCAGACTCAGGAGCTAGGAAGGGTATTCTGATACTGCCCTGTTTTTCTAGGCATCCATTAACCTTCATGTTGTCCCTCCTGTAAATGATGAATGGGATCAAGTGTGAGCTGAAAGTGCAAGAGTAGACATTAGGGTTGGCTTCAATGAGAGTTTCAATTGGCTTTAAGGGTAAATAGATAAATAAAGAATTATTACCTACATATAGACATCTGAGAAATTGTAGGGGTCTCTAAAGAGTACAACTTTATTATTAATATCAGTATTAACTACTAAAATATATTGCTTGCTTGCATGTCTGGCGTTGTCTTAAGCACTTTACGTGCAATCTTTCTATTAATGTTTGTAATAGCTCTATCATCTAATAATAGCTCCATAGAGGCGCTATTATTAGTATCATTACACAGATGAGCAAACTGAAGCTTAGAGAGACTTATTCAAAGTCATACAGCTAGTACCTGGGATAGCCAGGGTACAAACTCAGGACTGCTTGACAACAAAAGCTGACACTATGTTCCACTTCCTCTAGAAACACAGGAAGCTGCCAGTCTGTTTGGTAATTGGCTTGCCTAATTTGAGGGTGTTTCGTATAATAGTAGTTTAGGCCGATGCTGGTCAAACTTTCATGTGCCTACAAATTATCCGTGGGGAAAGTGCTAAGGTGCAGATTCTGATGCAGTAGACTTGAGAGGATGTCTGAGATTTCTGCGTTCCTAACAAGCCCAGGATGCTGGCACCCTGCAACAATGAGAGTAGCAAGGTTTCAATTTAGAATGAACATTGGATCTCAACCTGAGCAGCATGTTGAAATGTTCTGGGAAAACAATTTTGATGCCCAAATAGTACTTTCAGATATTCTGATTTAATTGCTCAACAACCGTTGGGTTAGCGATTCTCTTACCTATCAGTGTTTTGTCATTTGTTTGAAATGGGAATGCTGAATTGTAAAAGATGCCCTTGGTTACATTCTGTACAGATGGAAAATAAGACAATGAATGAAGATGTGTTGTTGTAGGACCCTCCCAGTTCCTAGTCAGTTCATTTTCCTGATGCTGATTATTTATAACAATGCTGGAGGCAGGTGATGGGATAGACCCTGCTACTCACACAGTCGTCCTTAATGTGAGCAGCTGGGAGCAAGAGCAGACTGAGATCAGCACCACCATTGCAATTGTTTAAGAGCCAAGTGCTGACAAACTGTATGTTGATGGAGGGGATGAGAAATTACAATCAGAGACATCATCTTTCTATGAAATGGGTTTTTTGTTGTTACTTTTGGTTGAGAGGATCTAAATAGGAAAACCTAAGGCCATTCAAATCTAAACCGTGTCAAACCTTTCTTTAATCAGTTGTACAAAACAAGCAATAGTATGGATCAGGTGTTCAATGATTGTATTTATTAGAGAAGAACAATTGATTCCATGTTGGCGGATATGTGACCATGACTCTTTTTAGGGTTTCCTGCTAAGTGTGATCAAACCAAAAGGACTACAGATTATTATATTCAAATCAATATTTTTGCTGGCAAAAGAAAAGCATTCAGTGAGAAAAAAAGTATCTGCTTTTCAGAAGATCTCAGCCTCATGTATTATTGATGCAAAGATGATCAGATAAAAACTGGAACTTGGCAAGCTGTCAAATAAAAAATGCAGAGTGAATCAAAAATTTATAAAACAGTATTGAGTTATTACAATTCTATTATAGATACCAGTAATCATTTTTACTGAAACAAACCCTTTATATGACTGTACAGCTGGGATGTTAGGGTATGAGGATTTAAAACTCAACCTCATTTTGAGTGGAGGATACCACAAAATTAAAAATTAAGTGTAAAGAGTAAATGATTTAGGCACTGTTCAGTAGCAGATTGAATAAAAACAATAGAATTTTTTTTTTTTAATGGCAATGCTTTCCTTCTTGGGCCACATTTTGCTGACTTCCTTGAAAAATTACTGGCATTAGATTCAGAGCAGGATGAATTGCTTTACAGGATCTGTAAACCTAATTTGAGCATGTGCCAAGAACATGCACGATGCAAGATGCTGGGGAGGAAAAATGACTTGGTGAAATATTTTGTCACTTATGGATTTTCTTTTATAGAAAAAAGATTCCAACTCTATAGTTTTATTAGCTGCCTCATCTTGTATAGGGCCCGTCTCTCTCCCTTGCTAGAACTAACGTCTGACAATGCCAGAAATACATTCAAGAATGGAAAGATGACTGTCACCATTCTTAAATATTCAGAAGATAATTGCCAAAGTTAGAGCACCTTGACATAAAACATCCCTTTGGCCCCCAAGCCAATTTGCCTATCCAAGATCAAATAAATAGCTATAATGATAAAATCATGCAAGTCTGGATACATAATCAGCATTTGAAAAATGGCACTAAGAAAGTTTAACATCGCCAGGCACGATGACTCACATCTATAATCCCAGCACTTTGGGAGGCCAAGGCAAGTGGATTACTTGAGATCAGGAGTTCGAGACAAGCCTGGCCAACATGGTGAAACCCCCATCTCTACTTAAAAAAAAACACAAAAATTAGCCAGGCATGGTGGGATTAGCATGTAGTCCCAGCTACTAGAGAGGCTGAGGCAGGATAATTGTTTGAACCTGGGAGGTGAGGTTGCAGTGAGCCCAAATCACGTCACTGCACTCCATCCTGGGTGACATTCCATAAAAAAGAAAGGAAAGGAAGGGAAGGGAAGGGAAGGGAAGGGAAGGGAAGGGAAGGGAAGGGAAGGGGAAGGAAAGGGAAGGAAAGGGAAGGAAAGGGAAGGAAAGGAAGGGAAGGGAAGGGAAGGGAAGGGAAACGAAGGGAAGGGAAAGGAAAGGAACGGAAGGGAAGGGAAGGGAAGAGAAAGGAAGGGAAAGGAAGGGAAGTAAAGGGAAAGGAAGGGAAGGAAAGGGAAATGAAGGGAAGGGAAAGGAAAGGAAGGGAATGGAAGGGAAAGGAAGGGAATGGAAGGGAAAGGAAGGGAATGGAAGGGAAAGGAAGGGAAGGGAAAGGAAGGGAAGGGAAGGGAAAGGAAGGGAAGGGAAAGGAAGGGAAGGGAAAGGAAGGGAAGGGAAAGGAAGGGAAGGGAAAGGAAGGGAAAGGAAGGGAAGGGAAGGGAAAGGGAAGGAAAGGGAAAGGGAAAGGAAGGGAAGGAAAGGGAAAGGAAGGGAAGGGAAAGGAAGAAAATGGAAAGGAAAGGAACAGAAGGGAAGGGAAAGGAAGGGAATGGAAGGGAAAGGAAGGGAATGGAAGGGAAAGGAAGGGAAGGGAAGGGAAAGGAAGAAAATGGAAAGGAAAGGAACAGAAGGGAAGGGAAAGGAAGGGAAAGGAAGGGAATGGAAGGGAAAGGAAGGGAATGGAAGGGAAAGGAAGGGAAGGGAAGGGAAAGGAAGGGAAGGGAAAGGAAAGGAAGGGAAGGGAAGGGAAGGGAAGGGAAGGGAAGGGAAGGGAAGTGAAGGGAAGGGAAGGGAAATGAAGGGAAGGGAAAGGAAAGGAACGGAAGGGAAGGGAAGGGAAGAGAAAGGAAGGGAAAGGAAAAGGAAGGGAAGGGAAAGGAAAGGAAGGAAAAGGAAGGGAAGGGAAGGGAAAGGAAGGGAAGGGAAGGGAAAGGAAGGGAAGGGAAAGGAAGGGAAGGGAAAGGAAGGGAAGGGAAAGGAAGGGAAGGGAAAGGAAGGAAGGGAAGGGAAGGGAAAGGAAGGGAAAGGAAGGGAAGGGAAAGGAAGGGAAGGGAAGGGAAGGGAAGGGAAAGGAAGGGAAGGAAAGGAAAAGGAAGGGAAGGGAAAGGAAGAAAATGCAAAGGAAAGGAACAGAAGGGAAGGGAAATGAAGGGAATGGAAGGGAAAGGAAGGGAATGGAAGGGAAAGGAAGGGAAGGGAAGGGAAAGGAAGGGAAGGAAAGGGAAAGGAAGGGAAGGAAAGGGAAAGGAAGGAAAGGGAAAGGAAAGGAAAGGGAAAGTAAAGGAAAGGAAAGGAATGGAAGAGAAGGGAAAGGAAGGGAATGGAAGGGAAAGGAAGGGAAAGGAAGGGAAAGGAAGGGAAGGGAAGGGAAGGGAAGGGAAAGGGGAAGGGAAGGGAAAGGGAAAGGGAAAGGGAAAGGGAAAGGAAAGGAAGGTTTAACAATGAGGCCTGCATTCTGTCCTTGGCTTTTTCTCTCTGCCTAGGCAAAGAACAAAGAGGGTCTCTTGGAGCTGAAAACAATTCCAAAGCAAGGTAAGTATAGAGCACAACCAGAAACATTGGCCCTGGTCACTTTGTCTTTTAGAAACAGAATTGACTCCACTTAAATGGATCTTATAAAGAGGCAGAAAGGGAGAAATGCCTTGCTTAATCAGACCCAGAGCCAAATTACCCCATATTATGACCAAGATAAGAAAATGTGGTAAACTTTCATCAGACTTAAAATGTTCAACATTGAACATTTTACCTAGAATTCTGATGCCAAGAAATCTGCAGGATGCATCAATCACTATAATGAAATAGCACAAAAAAACTCAGATTCTCTGCTGTGATATAAGAATTATGTTGAATCATTATTTTTTGGCTTAATGTTTCATTCATGTCACCGTGACTGTTTTCAAGAACATAAGGAAAAAGCAAATACAAGGAGAATTTTAATTTCCTACTGAGAACCAACTTTAAAAAGTTCCCATGGCCCTTGCATTTGTCTTGGGTAACTGGTTATGTGCTCTGCTGTGTTCCCAAGATTAGGAGTTAATTATTCAGTGTTGATTATCCCAGTTACTAGGCTAGCGAACTCAACAAGAGCCAGATGAGGGCTGGAGATCAAGTGAGCCATGAGATCTCAAGTAAGAACAAACTCAGTGTTTGGAATGGGCCCGCTGTTGCATGCTCTGCCTCTGTCAGAATCCAGTGAGGAAAACAGAGGCCACATTAAGTATTGCACACAGAAGAGATTTAGCACAAGGAGTTGGTTACATGTGTGTCAATAAAGGGCACAGCCTTTTGGACAAAGTATAAATAAAAATCCCTCGGGTGAAATGCTCTCCAACTGCACACAGGAGTTTGGTAGGCTTAGCCAACCACCCTGCTTCAAACTGCATTTCAGCCATTTGGATCTCCTGACTTGCTTCTATTGGGAAGAATAAACTCTATCCTCATTTCCTATCATCTATTGCAGCATGAAGTGACTGAAAATTGTTCAAGCAATTACTGTGTTTCACCAACCGGGTGCCTTTGGCCGTAAGGGGCCTTTTGGGTTTGCAATAGCTCTACTGTCATTCCCCTTCTTTGACTGATTCTGGTACGAATTGCTAATGGCTTCCAAACTGTGGTCCTCTCTCTCACTAGAAGAGAAGTCAGATTCCTTCAAAAACGAAGTTTGCTCTTAGGTATATGTAGCGATGATGGGAGTGGAAGGGTAGCAGCAGAGGAAACGGACAGAGACACTCACCTCTAACACTAATCAATACCACTGATGAGTCCTGTTGGTTCTGCCTCCTAATTATCTCTCGAATTCATTCCCTTCACTACTCCCACAGCCACGGTGTTCCGCCAGGTCATTTCCTCTCTCAGCTTAAATATCACAACAGCCTCCTAACTGATTCCTCTGCCTTCTACCCAGCTCTCTCTCTATTCATAATTCTCCATAGCAGTGGTTCTTTACCAGGGGTGCACTGCCGCATCTGTTCCCACCCCCTACCAGCAGATATTTGAAAATGTGTGAGAGCGTTTGGGGGTTGTTGTGAAATGGAGGTGGGGCATGCTGGCTGGCATTAAAAGGCAAGATCAAGGATACTGAAATGCCTACTTGTGTTCATTTCCTATTGCTGTGCTAAAAAAAAAAGTACTGCAAACTTCACAGCATAAAACACTCATTTGCCATCTTACAGTTCTGGAGGTCAGCTGTCTGACCATGGCGTGACTGGTCTAAGATCAAAGTTTCAGCAGGGCTGCATTTCTTAACGAGAAGCCCAGGGGGAAGAATCCCCTTCTTAGGTCATTCAGATTGTTAGCAGAATTCAGTTCCATGTGGGTGTAGGACTGTGGTTCCAACTTTCTTGCTGGGTCTCAGCAATATTATTCTCAGCTTCCAGGGGACTCCCACATGTGTTAGCTGATGGTCTCCTTCATCTTCAATACTAGTAATGATGGATTGAATCTTTCTCATGCCTTGTGCCTCCTGCCTTCTTTTCTGCCATTCCTTTTTCTGGCTCATCTGTCTTCCTCTTCCACTTGTAAAGGCCCATGATTAGACTGGGTCCATCCAATCTAAGTACTCCAGGATAATTTTCCTAACTTAAGGTTTATAACTCTAATTGTGTTTGTAAAGTTCCTTTTGCCATGCAATGTAACATGTTTATAGATTCTGGGAATTAAGACATGGACATCTTTGGGGAATCACGAATCTGCCAGCTACACCTGGAATGACTGATCTTCATAACAAAGAATTGTTTCATCCAAAATTCTAATAGCAGCCCTGTTGACAAATACTGAGTGGGTGGTCTTTCTAAAATACAAATCTGATCGTGCCTCTTTTTTGCTTTAAAATCCATCAGGAAAATTCCCATTGCCCTAAAGACAAAATCCAGGGCAAAGCCTTACCATGTTTTCAGGAAAGTTCTTTATAATCAAGCATCTCTGCTAATCTCTAACTCACATCTCACCATTCTGCCTCTGTCTCTGCCTCCTGGCTCCTGCCACACTGGATGATTTTCTGACCATCCTATGGAATCTCTTACCTTTTAATGTTCACCAAGGCTATTTCTTCCACCTGGGGCACTCCTTCCCCAAACTCTTACCCACCTCCCTTAACGCAACTAATTCCAACTCAACTTTCAGGTTTCAATTTAATATCTTAGTTCCTTGTGAAAGCCTGCTATAATCCTACAAGTTAGAGTTAGAAATCATTCCCATATGTTGTCATAGCAGCCACGTGGCCACACACACATCATTTATCATACTGCTTTGTAATTTTTTTTGCCTGTCTTTGATTCCCCGTAAGCTCTAAGCTGTAAGAAGGCAGGGATGGTGTCTTATTTGCTGTTTTATCTATAGCACTCAACTCATACCTGGCATATATTTACCATCAACAAATATTTATTCATTAAATAAATTACTTCATCATGTAGACTTTTATACAAAGAGTGCAATAAACTTGGTTTCAACTGCTCTATAATAGAGACATAATTATAACAATAGTCAAGCACCAAATTTTGTCATTCAGGGACCATTTCATTTGAACTCTCTATCTGTATGAAGTAGGAATTATTATTGAGCCAATGTTATGGAGAAAATTGAAACTCAAAAAGGATAGGCCAGGTGTGGTGGCTTACACCTGTAATCTCAGCACTTTGGGAGGTGGAGGCGGGCAGATCATAAGGTCAAGAGATCGAGACCATCCTGGCCAACATGGTAAAACCCCGTCTCTACTAAAAATACAAAAAAAAATTAGCTGGGCATGGTGGCACGTGCCTGTAATCCCGGCTACTTGGGAGGCTGAGGCAGGAGAGTCGCTTGAATTCGGGAGGCAGAGGTTGCAATGAGCTGGGATCATGCTATTGTACTCTAGCCTGGCAACAGAGCAAGACTCCGTCTCAAAAAAAAAGAAAAAAAACACACACACACACAAACACAAAACAAAAAAAGGATAAATACCTGCAAGAGCACTTGGCACTCAGGTGGCAAAGCTAAGATCCAAGGCTAGTTTCTGATTCCAAGCCAATACCATGGTACCTTTCTGAACCAAAAAGAGTACCTTACAGTTTATAAAACATTATGCCACAGTCCTCATAACCTCACTCTAAGATTAAAATGTTGATCTCTTTTTTGGACATGAAGAAAGGTACTCATCAAAGTTAAGTGACTTGGCCAAAATCACACAGCTAATATGTGGCAAATTCAGACTAAAAGTCAGATATTTTAATTACATTCCTCTTGTTCTAACTATACCATCTACAAACTGGGAAGAGGCTAGAACTTGGAGAGTGGAAGAAACTACCTTGGTAAGGTATTCTCAAAATCTTTGTGTCATCATCTCATACCTCCCTGCACACACACAGCCAATAAAGAACTTAGACCAATGAAAAATCTATTTAGAAAAAAAAAGGAACTCCTCTATTCATGAATCACTTATATATTATGCAGGTGGCAAAAAGAGAGAGAAAATGTTATGTGAATTTAATCTCCAAAAAGATGATAGGTGGTGAATAATGGCAGTTAGTTAGCTTGAGAACAAATGTTGATTATCATAGTTATCAGAATACATACATGGTATAGAATCCAACCTTGAGATAAGAAATCTGTCACTATAGTGTATGGGTCAGGACTCTGTTGGCTCCATTGTAGCCAGCGTCCAACAGGGCCTCTGGTAGTCTTTCCCTCTTGGTATTCATATCCTTGTATATTCCCCTCCCATATGGAATCAAGATTGACCTAGTAAACAACAGAATACTAAAGATGTGATGGTATGTCATTTTCAAGGTTAAGTCATAAAAGACATTTACATCTTCCACCTTGGTCTCCTGGATCGCTTAACTTAGGGAAAGCCATCCGCCATATCGTGAGAGCACAAGCCAGGCTGGGGAGAGGTTTCTGTGTGAAGAACTGAAACCCCCTACCAAGAGTCAGTACAGGCTTATCACCACATGGCTAAGCTACCTTGGAAGCAGATCTTCTAGCCCCAGTCAAGCCTTTAAGTGGCTGTAGCTCCAGCAAACATCTGAATGAACATTATGAGAAATCCCAAGTCAAAACCACCCAGCCAAGCAGCTTCGAATCCCTGACCCACAGAAACTGAGAGATAATAAATGTATATTTTTGTCTTAACCCACTAATTTATTACACAGAGATAGATAACAATACAGGCAACGAGTGACAACTCCTATTTGAACTAGCTTTAAACAAACTGGGACCTCTTAACCTATGTAAGTAAGGAAAGTCTCAGGAGACATGGCCTTAGGGAGAGTGGAACTAGATACTCCGAAGGGGCCAGGCTCCTTTTTCTTTCTCTCTCATCTCTGCTTCTCTCTGCACATAAGTTGCATTCTCTTAGTCTTCTTCCACCTGACAGAAAACATGGCCACCAACGCCATCAGGCATTACCTCTGACTTTCTCCCATCCCAAGTTCTAAAAGCATGGAAAGTACTCCAGTTGGCCTAAAAATGGATCACTTGCTCATCCTAGACCAATCAGTGGAGGCCTAGCTGGTGGAATCAGTAAAAATATCTATTTCCATCCAAACCGCATTATTAGGGTGAGGAAAAGAACATTTCTTAGAAACAACATGGGGTGGGCAGTTTCCTTGGAAGAGAAACAAGCAGTCCACTGCTCACTGTATGTTCACATAGGAGAATGAAGACACATACGTATGCATGCACAAGGGGTTTCTCTATGCTAATCCTGGGGTGACAGTAAACATCATTTTCATGAATCATTTTGTCACCTGGCCCTAAGGAAAAGGCTCTCTCTAGCCAGGAAAACACATCAGCCAGATTTCCAATGAGAAGTAAATCTTATCTTTCAAAGAGAAAGGAAAAAAAATAGCCTAAAGCAGCCCCAAAGTAGAAAATACCTCTGAGATTTCTTTCCTGAGAACCTAGGGTCTAGATGATGAGAGAGGAATAACAATAATAATGATAATAGATGCCATCTATCATGCACATGTCAGGTACATTAAGCTACTGGATATCATTTTGACTCATATCACACAACTGATAAATGCCAGAGCCTAGATGACTCCTGAGTCTGTCTGCTGCCAAAGTCTAAACACTTAATCACTATGCAAAATACCAGAGAAGGAATTACAGAAGCCCAAGCCTCAACCAAGACCATGGTTAGCTCCTAAGCTAAAGAAAAGCAGAGCAAGCTGTCCTCAGCTCAGAAGCTATTTTCTGTAAATTTCATGTCAACCAAGATCTCATTTCAGCATTCCCCTGAGAGCCAGGTGGAAGAACTGAACTCCAGCTCACTCCTGCTGCTCTTGTCTATGAAACAGAGCAAGACCCAAAGCAAAAGTTTTCAGAATTTTGTTATAACAAAATCTCTATTTTTCATTGTCTTCAGAAATAAGTTTTGCAAATCAATTCCAGCTTTGGGTGGTTCTCAGAGGCAGTTACATAAAAAGAAAGCCCATGTGACTCATTCCTGCTGAGAGTGGGCCACTTTGCTCTCTTGGAAAAAGGGAATTTAAGTGTTCATCAAGGCAGGCATGACATCATCACTGACAAGTCAGGCCAACCTTCAGATGAGGACCATGTCTGTTGTTTGTTAAGTGTGTCTTGGGGAAGTTAATACTTCATGTCAAGGTTTCTTTATCTGAAAAAAAAACGTGCCTCTATCTCATATTTCACAAGGTGATTGTGAAGACCGAATGAGACAACACATGTGGAAACACCTAGCAAAGTACTTAATGCTATGGTTTGAATGTCTGTCCCCTTCAAACCTTCCATTGAAATTTGATCCCATGTTGGAGGTGGGGCCTAATGAGGGGTGTTTGGGTCCCCATTGTAGATCCCTCATGAATAGAGTAATGCCCTTCCTTGGGGGTGAGTGAATTCCCAGTCTATGAGTTCCTGCTAGAGTTGGTTTTAAAAAGAGCCTGGCACCTACTCCAGTCTTGTTTTTTTTTTTATCACCATGTGATCTCTGCACACACTGGATTCCCTCGCTTTCTGCCATGGGTGGAAGCAGCCTGAGGACTTCACCAGATGCCCAACCTTGAACTTTTTCAAACATCAGAAATAAAGTGAAATGACTGAAATAAACCTTTTTTCTTTATAAATTACCCAGTCCCAGGTATTCCCTTATAACAACACAAAATGGACTGAAACACTTGATAAACATTTGTGACATTTGTCTTTCATCATCATGGCTTTGTTTTGCTCTATGTTACAGTGCATGCGGCTTTTCTCCTCAAGGAGGTTCTAAGTTCCACTTGGCAGCATCACTGTCTTATTCCCACTGTGTGTCCCACACATCACTCATGAGCAGGTAGGGCTTGATGTGCTGATAGTGGGTTGTGCTGGACTCCACAGAAAGCAAATTTTCAAAACCTACAAGCAACATGTTTTCTGGCATGCCACAATATGCCATCATCTCACTAGACAATAATAATATACATGAACACTTGAAAATTTGAACAGACAGATATCTAACCTAATTGACTCAGTGGCTATAAGAGACAAGTCTATGGATACATATAAACATTTTAATCCTACTTGGCAAAAAGTGTGTCAATGGGTGTAAGGAGTTAGTTATAGCCTCCACTCTCATCTGGGCAACTATGCCCTTTCTCCAACCCCTGTTGACAAGGCAACCCCAAGGTGGCCACACTGCAAACTAAATGATCTCTTCAAGTTTATGCAGTTGCACATTTGGCTGGACCAGAGACAGCAAAATATGATGCAACTAGGAATCAGATGAAGATTTAGACCAATCAGATCCTTTCCCTTGAGAGCATGAACTTCGAAATACCAAGGAACAAGGCAGCGCCAGATGGGCATTCAAACTGAAAGAATACCATTGGAAGACAAATTAGAGTAGCGGGTGAAGGCTAGAGTCAGTCAGCCTGGATCCCTGTGTTAGCTTTGTCAGTTCCTGCCTATGTGATCTTGGGAAAGGTACTTTCTCCAAGTGTTCTCATCTGTAATATGGAGATGATAACAGGACTTCCCTCATGAAGTTAGTATGAGGATTAAAGAGTAAATGTATATGAAAAGTACTTGGATGGCTGACACATAGTTAGAGCTATATAAACAATGGCTGTCATTATCAGGTAGACTCCAAGATCAAGTAAAGCCCACACCATGTGCAGAAAACAATGAGAAAGTAGAAACTATGAGAATGCCTAGGAAGCTCTGAGGTCAATACTGAGAGAAGAATAGGGTATGTGCATGGGGAACCCATGAGTCACACAGACCCTCTAAAGCATGAGAAAGACACACAGAGCATAAGATATTTTCAAGCTGACCCCTCTCAAATGTCCTTCAGCTCCTTGGAGTATGGGTCAACCTGCCTGTTCTCTGAGCTGGGAAACCTAAAGAACCTAATATTTGGTACAAGACGGAGCCTGAACAAACAGAATTGTGTTTTTACTGAAAGTCCACAAAGGCTTCATGAAGATGATGTATCCCAATTTTTTTCAGTAAAGAGATAAAAATGAGGCCACGAAAAAACAACATTGACATGCCCCTTACCTCATCATAAATTGCTGGTGAAAGCCCCAAGTTGGCACATCTGAGCTTTCTCCATCTAGCAAGTGATAACCCTTATCAAAGGAGCAGAGTCTGAAGCAAAGAATGTCTTGCAGCCCCGATAAGCTCCAAGGCACTGGGCCAGGGTAATGGACCATAGGCGATGGAGTGGGGTCTGCCAAGCTCAATAATACAGCATTGTGGCTGCATTGGAAAATGTTTTAATTTACATTTTCAAGCGCAAAATATTTTCCCCTCATGCTTTAGCTAAATTAGGTAGTTAAAGTCTGTGAAGTGGCAGTAATTGGAAACAATGGATTTTATATTTGACATTTATTATTTTAGTGGAATCTGTTTTACATTTACATCAAACATCTAAGGACCCCTGCAGAAGTTTCCTTTGCTATTGCATTATCATTTAGCTCTAATAATGCACTTTGAATTCCCAATTCTCAATTATAATTATATCATTTCAGATAGAGTAAGAGATGGAGTAGAGATAAACCTTCACTGGAAATTGTACGCCTGTGCTTTCCTTTCCTTGTGTTGAACTTTGATACATTAATAATTTGCTCAATATATTTTTATCCTAATTCTTTAAAGTTTCATATTGTTCTCTAATTACTTTATATATTTTGATCTTACTTCCCCAAAAACCTACTTAGGGACAAAGATCATGTTTTGTCCATATATTTGCTTGAATATAAGTACATAATGAGAATCAAGATATGTTTCTCTACTCAGAACAGATCAGTGTTATCTTATGGGAAGTGGGGAGTAGAATCCAAGGGAGGACAAAATTCCATTTTGTTTAAGGAAAGATTTTCTTACAGAGCTGCTCGAGATGGATTAGGCTGATTCAGAAAGTAGTGAATTCTTAGTCCCCAGAAATGTTCAAAGGAAACTTTAAATAATCACCCTTCCTATTCTCTAATTTGACTCAAACTAAAAATTATAAAATATAGTTGTCAGAAGTTCTACAGATAAGTTTCGGCTTTACCTAAAGCTCTGCTGTAATGGATGTCCCATCTGAGACCACTTCATAACAAGGAAACGGGCCAAGAATGAAAAGGTTTGGAGTCAGAAAGAATTGGGTTTGACTCATAGCTTCACAACTTAATTCTGTGTGATCATGGGCAAAATGACCTAATCTCTCTAAGCTTAAGTTTCCTAATCTTGCAATGACATTAATAATGTAACTCTTATGAAAATTGAGAATAGGTACCCTTGTAATGAACTGGATGTCCTGAAGAGCCCCCAGTACTTAAGACAGCCCACTTCATTTGTGGTGGGGGAAAGTTAAAAAATACCATTTAATTCTTGACTTTCATAATTACAGAAATACAAACTGATCAAACTTTTGGAACAGAACTCAAAGACAGCCACCAGAAATAAAAAAAAAAAAAGAATGTGTACCTTTCAAATCACAGGGAAAACTGAAAGTGACAGAGAACAAAGAAAAAAGAAAGGAAACCTAAGACAACAGAAACTATAAAGCAAAATGACATAAGGAAAATAACCTGTGTTTGTTAATGCAAATTAAAATATTAATGCCAGGAGCTAATACTTTAGTGTTAAAGTTCCTTAAATTATTAGTTATCTACTAAAGCATTAGTTCCTGGTACTAATACTTTAATTTGCATTATGAAGTCCTTACTATGTTGGTAAGGACTTTACAAACTTCATCTCATTTAGTTCTTACGGTGTCCTAGAGATTGGCATTATTTTTATGCCCACTTTACAGGTGAGAAAAGTGAGGCTTAGAAAAGTAGAAATTTCTTAAATTTACCCAAGGACTAATATATTTGAAGCCAAACAACCTAGCTGCAGAGTGAATACTCGTAAATATTATGCCACCCTGTGGAAACAAAAGGGACTATATCTATATGTCTAAATATCATCACATATTTATATGTACAGGAAATAATTGGTCATAAATAAAATATGAAACAATATTTATCTCTAGGTAGTAGGATTATGAGTAGTCTTAATTTTCCTGTTTATAGCCTTCTGCATTTTTCAAATTTTCTGCAATGAACATGTATTTATGTAGTCAGGAGAAACGCCATGAAATTTACAATAGATTGCCCCGCTTCTTGTTATATTAGGAAGCCCAAGTCATGGTATAAATTCTTGAGATTTTCCTGGGATGTATGCTTCCTGAGGGAAAATGTTCCCAAAGTGTTCTCATCATTTCTTCCAGAGGAGCCAGTATTACAACTAGGAGATGAAGCACTTTGGTTTGTTGTTTCTAGTGTTTTCTATACAGATTTAAAAAAAAAAAGAAGAAAAGAAAAACTAAAAAGTTTTCAGTCTGAGGAAAATTTAAATAATCACTCATCTTATTCTCTCATTTGACTCAAAGTAAAAATTGTAAAATATAGTTGTCAGAAGTTCAATAGGTAAGTTTGGCCTTTACCTGAAGGTCTGGGGCAACGGATGTCCCATCTGAGGAATTCCAAAAGAACTCCCCAATCCAGGGAAAGGTCTCACCTCAGAGGCAATGTGTGAGAGTTCTAGCTACACACGTTGATGTAGCAAACAGCAGTCACATGGTCACATTCTCTTCCAAACTATTTCCATTTCGTCAAACCACAGAAATTGCCAGAAAGGATTGTAGTGTTGAGTCCACCCTTCTCTCTGTAAGTAAGAAACTGAGATCCTGAAAGGCTGCATCACTCTGTTTCCATCATGACCTTCCTAGACCAAGCTACAGCCTTCACTCACCTGAATTCCTGTATCTGTCCCCACCTGTCTCACACCCAATTCAGCGCCCCTTCAACTCCAGTTACCACCATGCTGCTCCCCTGACTCTCTCACTCACAGATTTTTATTGTTCTTAAAATAGAGAAGAATGTTCTTAACATGTTTTACAAGGTCTCTCCTAATCTGACCCTTGCCTTCCCATTTTTACCTGAATCACTTTTTTTTTTTTTTTTTTGAGACAATCTCCCTCTGTTGCCCAGGTTGGAGTGCAGTGGTGCAATCTTGGTTCACTGCAACCTCAGCCTCCTGGATTCAAGCAATTCTCCTGTCACAGGCTCCCAAGTAGCTGGGATTACAGGTGTGCACCACCACACCTGGCTCCTTTTTGTATTTTTAGTAGAAATGAGGTTTTACCATGTTGGTCAGGCTGCTCTCAAATACCTGACTTCAGGTGATCCACCTGCCTCGGCCTCCCAAAGTGCTGGGATTACAGGCATGAGCCACCGCGACCAGCCAATCACTCTCTTCTTTAGTTCTCTAAGCCCCAGCTGCACAGTCCAATTTTCCAAACTAGCCATTCTCCCCCCAGCAAATGTTCCTCTACTGGCCATGCACCTAGATAATTTCCACTGAGAGGTTTCCTAGACTCCAGTCCAAGTTAGATCCTTCTCTCTTATCATGTAAGCATCCTTCCTAGCTCTTATCATAGCTGTAGCTTTGCACTTCTTGCCTGTATTCCTCCCACTGGATTGGGACTCCGAGAGGCAAGGACATGTCAGTTTCACCCAGCATTTCACCATCAGCACTAACCCAGTGCCTGCCAAAGAAACACAGGCCCAGAGAGGTTATGTGATTCTCTCAAAGGCACATACCCAGTTAGTGATAGAGTCAAGTCTCAAATCCAGGTCTCCAGCATCGTTTCCTATAGAGCGCCCGTCTCTTTCTCACAGAGCTGCCTTTGTCCATCAATTATAGTTCTAGCCCAGCTCTTGTTTTTCTCCCAGATTTCAACTGTAAGACCTGGTGCTTCTGACTTCTCTCAAAGTCATCCTTCTCCACCTTCAACCCTGAGTCCCTGCTGAATTCCTTCGTGTTACTTAGAGTTGCAAAATGATTTGCTTGTGTTTGTCTCAACACGTTTCCCTGACATTCTGAACTCTCCGTAAATCAACCAGTGACAAAAATGTATTCAATCCCTCTTGTATTCTCAGCACTAAGCTGGCTGCTACAGGGAGTAAAAGGAAGACACAAATGTCCTTTTGACCCTTAAGAAACAAATTATCTATTTGAAGACATAAGGCTCACACATCTAATGCTAGTAGGGGAAAAAAACAGTAATAATAGTAATCAAGTTTGTGTAACACAGACTCTGAGTGCTACAGAAATTCAGCCAAAGAAAGATGAAGAAGGCTACACATGGAAGGTGAAAACTGATCTGGCATTGAAGGAAGTTAAGAACTTAGATCTGCAGAAAGGAAGGAAAAAAAAATTAAATTGCCATTTTCCAACAAGGGAAAATGATGGAAGCATCATCAATGATGCTTGACGTTGGGAAGCATTATCAATACATTTTGTAAAGGACCAACTCAAATGGAGAATAAGCCCAGACATGGGGGTGTAAAGAAAGACAAGGGCATAAGGTCTTGTTCCAAATCCCAAAGGGACTGTCAACAGACAAGCTGGGGAAGCTTGAGGGACAGTGTGACTCTCAAACCCTGCTATAGCCTCTCCACTATTCAGATGTCAATGTTAATAGTTAATGGTAAAAGTTAATCCTTATTGAACTCTATCTATATGTCAGACATTATATTAAGTGCTTTGCATATGTTATTTCATTTATTCTTACTTAATCCTCTCAATATTTCCTTTAACAGTAGGTAGTGGTATTATCCTCGTCTTACATATGAGGAAGCTGAGGCTTTGTCAGAGTAAATAACTTACCAAAGAAGATTATATAAATGGATTACATAGATCCAGAGTCTCAACCCACACTCTTTACTTGGGAGCCTGAGCAAAAATAAAAACGACTCAAAAATTTCCAATGCTGTTTCTAAAAACCAAAATAATAGCACAGAGTATGAACCCAGAGGTCTACCCATTCTACCTAGTATGTGTAAATCTTAAGGAATTTTACTGAATTGTGCAGGCATAGAGAGATGTAAAGGGGTCAGTTCTCACACCTTTATGATATTAAAATTTCATTAGTTTAGAACCATTAAGTCAAAAAGTAAAAGAAATATTTTTTTCCAAATACATCTGAGTTGCTGACCTAGAAATCACATGAATTGCTCCCCATTCTTTCTCCACCAGTGAACATTCTTCCCAATGTCAGTAACAGCATTTTAACATGCCTATTATAGGTAACAGAAAAGGTGATGTAAGTTTCAGGAATGGAAGGAGGGAGGGAAGAGGGAAGGAGGGAAGGAGAGAAGGAAGGAAGAAGGGAAGGAGGGAAGGAAGGGAAGGAAGGGAAGGAAGGAAAGGAAGGAAAGGAAGGAAAGGAGGGAGGGAGGGAGGGAGGGAGGGAGAGAGGGGCAGAAAATTGTCTCCTCTTATTGTCAAACGATGCTCGCCACCGCCTCTTATCTTCCCTCCATCTCCAGTAATGTATGTTGACAACAGTGACACCTCCTGGCGAAAACAAACTTGACCTCCTGCAGGATTTCATTTTGCTCACTCACCGCAAATTACTCTTGACTCTTCTTGTTGCCTCCAGGTGCAATTTTCTTTTCCTTATCTGGAAGACTGTACACTAGCACGGGCATCCTCAGCCTTAGAAACTCAATAACCCAGTGCTGACCTAACTGCAGAACTCGGTCTGACATGCAAAGCCCCGGAGTTTCATCCTAAAAACGTCAGCATGATTAGCCCAGAGACCCAATTCACAGCCTTCCTACTTACAGCTACATTAAATATAAATAAAGCAAACTAAATACCAGCTACTGAGAAATAGTTCAATTAAATCCTACAATGAGAGTGCCTCTTGATTTTAATGTGTTTAATCCCCTGGGAAACATAGTTGTTGTATGCCCTTCTTGTAGAATTTTTTTTTTTTTTGGTCTCATACTTGTGCAAATCATACAGCCACTAAAAAGGCTAAAAGCTTTTAGTATTATTGTTATCTAAAACAGTTTTAGAAAACTAACTGTGAAAGGTTTTGTTTCATCTCATTTCCTAGACATTCCAGGGCATGATCCACATGGTTACTCACCTTGAAAATAATATATTGGAAAATATAGTAAAGTATTTTGTACCTACTTTGAAAGCAATCCAGCACTTTGTTAAACTAGACCCCTGAGCAAGCATAATTAAGGGTGAAAGTAGCTGATGGATCAGAGAGGAAAATGGAGACCTCAAGCCCTGTGGCATTTTCCTTTTCTCAATTTTATAAAATAGCTTAGGCCCTTCTGTTTTTTTCTCTCTCTCTGAATCATTCAGTGGTTCAGAGTATAAAGAGTTTACCTTGAAACTTGTTTGTTCCTATTCGATTCACAGTCTGCACAAAGAAACCCCTTCATTTGGGCAACTAAATCTTGTAAGTTCGCTGGTTGAAAAAAGTCTATGAACTTTCCCTTAGTTAAGCTTTTATTTTGAAAAGACTCCTATGAGATACCTGCATATTAAATCTCAGGTGAACTTGCATCCCAAATTAATAAAAATTCAAACCCTTGCTCCTTTCCAGATCTAGTGATTCTTTTGACAAATAAACCTTGGAGATTAGATTATATCTTTGTTATGCAAGAACAGAAAAACACTGGTATTATAAAAAACAAAAGTTCTTCTAGCTGATCAAAAAGAAAACGGCGGTTGAGTCGCAACAGTTATATTTTTGTCTCTGTGTTGTTTTACAGTGAAAATCGTGGTTAAAATTTCAACTGCCTTCTGATACAATAAAGATTCCAAACATGGGCATTTCAAAACTTTATGCAAAGGCAAATTCTGGTGGGGGTGGTCAATTTCAAAAAAAAAAAAAAAAAATCTCTCTGCTTGCCTTAAAAGAACACACATGAAAGACAGATACTGGAACTAGAGGAACATGCTTCGTGATTAGCACAGCATCAGAATGATAGATCTGGAACATGTCAGCATATAACATACAAATGATAAATATATATTTGGACTTTATCACATAAGCTTATTCATTTACTCAACAGTGAATAAAGTATTTGCAGTGGGTTAAGCAAAATGGTAGGTGTTAGAAAACAATGGTGAACCCTGCCCTCGAGTGAGAGCAGTCTAGTATGAGATGATAGGGTTGTATGAGACATACTTATACTGAAAGATTATTCATTGTTTATCTGAAATCAAATTTAACTCAGTGCACTGCATTTTTACCTATTAAATTTGGTAAACTTAATAGAAGGTAAATGGGCAATTTCTTCTTTTTTATTGTTATTTTTCAGAGACAGGGTCTTGCTCTGCTGCCCAGGCTGGAATGAAGGGGTGCAATCATAGCTCATTGCAGACTCTAACTCCTGGGCTCAAGTGATCCTCCCACCTTAGTCTCCCAAGTAGCTGGGATTACAGGCCAGAGCTACTGCACCCAGCAGCAATTTCAATCTAGTATGATATATTGAAGTGATAAGAGTGAGCTGAACATTAAAGAAGTGCATAAGGATCTCTCTTTGAAATATTTATTTTATTTCCTTTGGATACATACACAGAAGTGAGACTGCTTGATCATATGATAGTTCTATTTTCAATTTTTTGAGGCATCTTCATATTGTTTTCCATAATCTACCAATTTACAGTCCTACCAACAGTTCTCTTTTTGCCACATTCTTGCCAACATTTAAGAGCCATCCTTACAGGTGTGAGGTAATATCTCATTGTAGTTTTGATTTGCATTTCCCTGATGATTTGTGATGTTGAGTACCTTTTCATATACCTGTTGGACATTTGTCTTCTTTGGAAAAATGTCTCTTCACCTCCTTTGCTCATTTTGTAATCAGGTTACTTGTTTTTGTTTGTTTTGTTTTGTTGTTTGTTTCTATTGGGTTTTATGAGTATCTTATACATTTTGGGTATTAACCCCTTATCAGATATATGATTTGCAAATATTTCTTCCCATTCCATAGACTGCCTTTTCATTTTTTTTGTTTCCTTTGCTATGCAGAAGCTTTTAAATTTGATGTAGTCCTACTTGTTTATTTTTATTTTTGTTGCCATCTTTTTGATTTTATAGCCAAAAGATCACTGCCATGTTCATTGTGGCATTATTTGCAATAGCCAAGATATGAAAACAACCTAAGTGTACATCAACAGATAAACTGATAAAGAAAATGTGGTGTGTAAATACACAGTGGAATATTATTCAATCATAAAAAAGAAGGCAGTCCTGCCTTTTACAACAACATGGATGAACCTAGGGAACATTAAACTACATGAAAGAAGCCAGGCTCAAAATACAAATACAGCAGGATCTCACTTCTAAGTGAAATCTAAGTAATTCGGGTTCATACAAGCAGAGAGTTGAATAATAGTTGCCAGGCGAAGGAGGGTGGGGGAAATGGGTAGATGTTGCTCAAAGGGTACAAACTTTCAGTTACAAAATGAACAAGTTCTGAGGATCAAATGAATAGTATGGTGACTATATTTTATAATACTATGTTATTCACTTGAAATTTGCTAAAAGAACAGATCTTAAGTGTCTTCACGCCCCTCCCTCACCACACACACAAAATGGTAACTATGTGTGGTGAAGGGCGTGTTGATTAACTTGATTGTGTTTATCATTACACAATGTATATAGATATCAAATTATGATGTTGTACACCTTAAATATATACGATTTTGTCAATTATACCTCAATAAAGCTGGGGGTGGGGAAGAAGTGCATAAGGAGGTACAGGTAACTCTGACTTTGAAATTGGGATCTGAAAGATAAATAAGAGTTAACCAAGAAAAGAGAAAGAGGTTAGTGATTCCAAGAGGAAATGCAAGTGCAATGTCCGTGAGGAGAGAAAGAGACTGGCACGTGTCTATCATCGTTGTTCAAAATAAATGGGCATACAGTGATGAAGCAGGAGAGATTAGCAGACGCCAGACCACAGGGACCCTCTAAAGACATTTGGATGCCATATTTAGGACAAAGGAAAGTTTTAAAGGTTTCTAGGCAGAGGCGTTTTATGATCAGATTTGTCATGTAGGAAGATTATTCTGGATGAATGCTGGAAAATAGATTGACATCTGGGAAGACTGGAGGCAAGGAAACCAGTTGAAATAATATGCTTAAGGAACTCTAAAGGAACTAAAATCTTAACCAAACTATGAACTAAAATCTTAGCAGTAAGGAGTGTACATCTTAGTCTAAATATATATATATATATATATATATATATGTATAAAGCCCCAACAAGTCTATGAAATAGGTATTATTATTATTCCTGTTTTATAAATGAGGAACATGAGACTTAGAGAAAAATAAATAATTGGCCTGTAAAGCTAGTAACTGGTACAGTAAGGATGATATCCAGGTCTGGAGGATAAGCCATGGGCTGAGAGATGGTGCCACTGACCATGATTGGAAATACAGAAGAGGGTACACATTTGTGAGAAAAGTGCAGGGCTCCTTTTTAGACTTACTGAATTTCAAGTGCCTATGATATCTGAGGGCAACTGGATAGATGAATTTAGAGCTCATGTGGAGATGAGGATTGGGGAGATGGGCTCATCTGGAGACAGGGATTGGGGAGATGAATCATCAGCCACGCAATTACAGTGGAAACTCTAGAGTATAGATAAGGTGGATTACAGAAGGTACACGGAGTGAAACTAGAAAGAGCCCTAGGGAAGAATCTTGAGAAACATCAACATTTAAGGGTCAAGTGTGGCCAGGGCAGTAGGAAAAAGCCCCGAGAGTATGATGTCAAAGAAGGCAAGTGCTATGGACTGAATGTTTGTGTCCACCCAGCCAAATTCATGTACTAAAATCCTAAACCCCAAGGTGATAGTGTTAGGAAATGGGGCTTTTGGGAAATGACTAGGTCATGAGGGTAGAGCCCTCATGAACGGGATTAGGGCCCTTACAAAAGAGGCCCAGAGAGCTACCTTACCCCCTCCACAAGTGAGAACACAGTAAGAAGACACCATGTATGAGAAAGCATACCCTTATCAGACACCTGATCTGCTGGTCATAGATTCCTAAGCCTCAAGAACTGTGAGAAATAAATTTCTGTTACTTATAATCTACCCAGTCCATGGTAGTTTGTTACAGCAGCTCAGATAGACTAAGACAAAATTGGTACCAAGAAGTAGAAGCACTGGCTGGGCACCATGGTTCATGCCTGTAATCCCAGCACTTTGGGAGGCCAAGACAGGTGGATCATTCGAGGTTAGGAGTTCAAGGCCAGCCTGGCCAATATGGTGAAACCCCATCTCCACAAAAAAATACAAAGATTAGCTGGGCGTGTTGGTGCATGCCTGTAATCCTAGCTACTCAGGAGGCTGAGGCAGGAGAATCACTTGAACCCGGAAGGTGGAGGTTGCAGTAAGCAGAGATCACACCACTGCTGTACTCCAGCCTGGGTGGGAGAGTGAGGGAGAAAAGAAGAAGAAGGAGAAGGAGAAGGGGAAAGGGAAGAGGAAGGGGAAGGGGAAGGGGAAGACGAGGAGGAAGGAGGAGGAGGAAGAAGAAGAGGAAGAGGAAGAAGAAGAAGAGGAGGAAGAAGAAGAAGAGGAGGAGGAAGAAGAAGAGGAAGAAGAAGAAAAGGAAGAAGAAGAAGAGGAAGAGGAAGAAGAAGAGGAGGAAGAACAAGAGGAAGAAAAAGAAGAAGAGGAAGAAGTGGAATGGAAGAAGAAGAGAAAGAAGAAGAAGAGGAAGAAGAAGAATAGGAAGAAGAAGAGGAAGAACAAGAGGAAGAAGAAGAAGAACTGCTATACAAATACCCAAAAATGTGGAACTGGCTTTGAAACTGGGTAATGAGTAGAAGGTGGAAGAGTATTGAGCTGAATGCTAGAAAAAAACCTGTATTGCCATAAACAGACTAATAAGGGCAATTCTGGTTAGGGCTTAGGAAAGTTATAGAGAAAGCCTCAATCTTCTTAGAGAATATCTGCATCATTGTAAACAGAATGTTGGTAGAAATATGGATGATAAATGTTATTTTGATCAGGTCTCAGATGGAAATACAACCACTTAGGTATTCACTATTTTAAACTGGAGGAAAGGTGATTCTTATAAAGTGACAAAAAGTGCATCGTGTTCATGTCCTAGTTTTTTGTGAAGGTAAACTTGTGAGTGATAAAACTCACAAGATATTTGGCTGAGGAAACATCTAAGCACAGCGTTGAAAGAGTAGCTTGGCTTCCCTTGAATGTTTATAGTAAAATGCAAGAAAAGAAAAATTATTTAAAGATGGATTTTTTTAATTAATAGGAAGACGATCTTAACGATTTGGAAAATTTACAACCTGGCCATACTCTAAGGAATGAGAGAGTATGTTTAGGAGACAACACCAGGGATGTCATCAAGCAACCTTTTGATAAGATTAAAATTGTACTGGTAGAAATCAGGCACTATTCATCAACACAATGGAAGAATGACCCCAAGGGCATTTAAAGATTGTGGAGGTTGTCCTTCCCATCACAGGCCAAGAATATCAGGGCCTTGGAGGCAAAATGATTTCAAGGCTCTGCTTCTCTCATTCTTGCCCAGTGATCCTAGGCAGTTCACCCAGATGCAGCATGGACCGAGGTGGCTGCCCCTCAACAGGGCACAAACTATAAACCTTGGTGGCAATCACGTAGTGCCATCTCCACTGACCTGTAGATTGTACAAAATATGAGGGTATGGCTATCTCCCTCCAGATTGTGAAGGATGGAGCCACCAAGGAGAGGGTTAACTTCAGGCTAGGGCTACCAGAATCCCCACTAGGGTAATACTTAGTGGCACCATAGAGTTAAGACCACCATGGTAACTTCAGATCATTGAAGCCACCAGCCTGCAATTCCAGCCTGGGAGAACCACTGGCACAAAATTCCCACCTATGAGGGGCTGCAGCATGGGCTGCACCTAACATAGCCATGGGTGGGACCACACAGAACTCTGAGGGGCCAACCCGTACCACAGTGTGTTTGGAAGGTTGCACGTCAATTCAAAAAACATTATTCTGGAGCCTTAAGATTTTTTAACATATTTTTAAATTTCTATGGTTTTGGGGCTATAAATGATTTTTGGTTACATGGATGAATTGTAGAGTAATAAATTCTGAGATTTTAGTGTACCCATCACCCAAGCAGTATACATTGTACTCAGTGTGTAGTTTTTTATTCCTCATCCACCTTCACCCTCCCTCTTCTGAGTTTTCAAAGTCCATTATGTCACTCTGTATGCCTTTGTGTACTCATAGATTAGCTCTCACTTGTAAGTGAGAATACATGATATTTGGTTGTCCATTCCTGAGTTACTTCACTTAGAATAACGGTCTCCAGCTCTATCCAAGTTGCTGCAAAATATATTATTTTATTCCTTTTTATGGCTGAATAGTATTCCATGGTGTATATATGTCACATTTTCTTTATCCACTCATTGGTTAATGGGCACTTAGGTTGATTCCATATCTTTGCAATTATGAGTTAGGCTGCAATAAGCATATGTGTGCATGTGTCTTTTTCATACAATAACTTATTTTCTTTTGGGTAGATACCCAGTAGTGGTATTGCTTAATCGAATGGTAGATCTACTTTTAGTTCTTTAAGAAACTGGAGCCTTAAGATTTAATGTTGTTTGCTCTGTTGGGTTTTGGACTTACTTAGGACCTGTCAACTCCTTTCTTCTTCCTGTTTTTCTCTTTTGGAGTGGGAATGTCTATCCTATGTCTGCCCTGCCATTGTGTTTTGGAAGCACATAACATGTTTGATTTCATAGGTTCACAGTTAGAGCGATTTGCCTTAGAATAAATCATACCTTGAGACTCACCTATATCTGATTCAGATGATATTTAGATAAAACTCTAGACTTTAGACTTTTGAGACAATGCTGGAGCAAGTTAAGAATTTGGGGGGCTATTGGCTGTATTTTGGATATAAAAAGGACTGCAATCTGGGGAGGCCAAGGGCAAAATGCTATGGTCTGAATGTTTGTAGCCCTCCAAAGTCCATATGTTGAAATCCTAACCCCAAGGTGATAGTACTAAGAGATGAGGCCTTTGGGAGGTGATAGTGTCATGAGGATGGAACCTTTATGAATGGAATTAGTGTCCTTTTAGGTGAGGCCCCAGAGAGCTACCTTGTTCCTTCCTTGATGTGAGGATTCAGCAAGAAGTTGCCCTTTATGAAGCAAAGAGTAAGACCTCACTAGACATCAGAGCTGCTGGTGCCTTGATCTTGGACTCCTTAACCCCAAGAATTATGAGAAATAAATTTCTGTTGTTTATAAGCTACCTACGTCATGGTATTTTCTCATATTAGTCTGAACAGAACATTCCAAGATATAGGTAGTGTCAGCATTATAAAACGAATTATGTGAGATGTGCTAATCGGAGAGGAAATTCAGAAGGTCAATCTATTGTATACAGCAGAAGAGAAAAGTTTTAAAGCTAGTTGAAAGAAAAAGAGTTAACTTAGCAAATTTAGGGGTAGAATATACTGGGGCACCAGAAAAGACAGTTAAAACAGGAGAAAGAGAATGGTGGAAATGTGAACTGCTGTGCCTTCTTGCCAGCCCAGCAATAAGGCAAGTCAAGAACACAGTGGGAGTGTGATCAAGTAGGGTTAAGGTTAATTTCAATAAAGACTAAACTTTACATGTTAATAAACTTCAATAAAGTTCAAACTCTCTTCTGGTTGACCTAGTCATGGGGGTCTCCACCGCATGCTGTTGGTATTATGAAAAACAAACACAGACATGGAGCTATTTTCAGTCAAGTTTGTTCTGCCTTAAGGGAAAGTTTGGGAAAGTGCTGAAGGGAAGGAGGAGAGGGCTGTGTGCTACAAATAAAGGTGTCATCAGGACAGAAAAAATTTAAGCTCTCCCTAAAGAAATTAAATTGAGCCTACCTGCTGGAGAGCTTCTGGGTACAACACTAATCTGTTGTTCTCCTATTGTCTTTGAACAAACTATGCACCATTGTAAAATGTACTGTTAAGAGAGGAAAAGCACCCCTACAAAAAGCTGGAAGACAAAAGGGCTACATCCCCAGTGTTAAGAGTAAATGAGAAATAAACTCACAACACAGAAAGGGATGGTGAAGAAGTGTCTCAATCTTGGCAATTTGTGAAGAGGAGATTAAAAACCCTCCCCTAGGTGTATGAGCCAAAGCACAGGCTTTGGTCTGAATTCACACCATCAGTGTAGCCAAAAAAGACCTCAAGCAGAAAATGTAGTTTAAAGTGATTTCAGGTTGTGGTCCCAGTGACTGGCAGAAAGAAGGAAACTCAAATCCTTCAGGGAAGTTGATATCAACCCAGGCTTACAGTGATTTGAAATGCCATGAATTATAAAATATGCTAAAATGCAAAAAAAAAAAAAAAAGTCTTAAAATGTATGGAATAATGTAGTTATTTCACCCTTATACCAGTTGGCCTGGAAGGAACTGTAGGTTTCACCTGATGACCTGTGAAGTTAGCTTAGGATCAGAACTTTTAATGGGCTGCCCTAGGATCAGAGCTTAGACTGTTCTTACTGTCTTACTCTCATCTAGCAGCACTAGGCCTACCCAAAGGGAGTACTGAGAACAGAACAGGAAGTCAACAACTTGAGTCAATAATCAGGGTAACTGGCACCTTTAGGCCATACTTGTTCCAGTTCAAAAGAATTCTCCTCATGACAGGTGTGTGTCACTGGGTTCACTGCAGAGACCAGATCACACATTTCTTCCAAGTCTATAAAATCAGAACTAAAGAAATCCAATGGGTTTAACAACTATATCACTACTCCTCTTTCCAAGAACAATTTTGATGGAGTCGGAAAGAAGAAGAAAAATACATTGCTTTGAAGTTAATAATCAGGTAACATGTAGAACAAAGTGATAATCATCTCTGTTCTAAAGGAGAGGACAGAATTCCCAAACATGGTATCTGTCCATTTTCTCTATTACTTAAGATCAAGATAATGCATTCCTATAAAACCTTTTTGGGATTTCACTGGTGAAGGAACCTAGTCTAAAATCATTTGCTGTTTCCAACCAAAGGCTCTTGAAATGAAGGATTTCTTCATGAATGTGTAATTTAGGTGTTTTGAATCGGACCACTGAAGAGGCATAATAAATTCTTGAATGTTAAGTGATGTTTACCTTTTTGGTTCACTGTGAAAGAATGTTTAAATTAATTCAGCTTGCTTTATTCCACTGACCAACATTCATGTATATCTTAGTGTCTAGTATGTATCTAGTTAACATCAAAGTGCTCTTTAAAAATTTTCTTCAACCAGATTCTCAACTGTCACTGTCCTCTACCACCCTTACATTATTATTCTAAATTAGTGAAGTCTTGCTGCCCATATAATAACTGTGTTTAGACATACACAGAATATTTCTTAAAGTTCTAAACTCTAAGATTTCCAAACCTGAAGAAGAAAATATAAAATAGGTGTTACCCTTGCTATAGGAGTTGCCCAGCAAAAGATTCTATTTCCCTTTTCTCCATAGAAGCAAAAGTCATACAGATATGTTAGAGTTAGTGGTTCATGTTTTTTCTGTAAAAGATATATTTTATTCTTGTTTTACCAATCTAGCCAGAGAAATGTTTTGAACTTGTTTCCCTAAGTAAAATAAAACTTGTAGGACTAATAGTAGGAGGTCTTAGGAGAAAATTGGCCAATGAAAAGCCTCATCTCCCACTTCTGATATAACAGCCTTAGTGGAGAGGACCTTAAAAAGTCAAGACTAGGTTAGTGCATCAATAAGATAGCAGAATAAGAATTTTCAGTGCTCATCCTCTTGCAGAAATATCAATTTAAATAACCATCCATGCAGAAAAACTTCCTCAAAGAGCTAAGAAATACAGCATCTGGATGGGGCACAGAAATAAGAAAAAAAGCATTGAAGAGTGTAGGACAGTTTCACGTTATTTATCTCACCTTTCCACCAATCCCAGGAAGCACAGCATGAAGAGAGGTACTCTCCACATGGAGGAAAGAGAGTGAACATTCAACTTTGCTGCACATCCAAGCACTAGGCCTGCTCTAGTAAACCATAGTACCAGGCCGGCCTCCATAGAATCAGGACTCAAGCCTGCCACAGTGCCAATCTGGCCTCCACTGCCCCAGGCTCCAGGCCTGCACCCATGGTTTGAGGCACCAAGCCCACCCCTGCACCTAGGTTCCGGGACCATCCTCACAGACCCAGTCACCAGGCCCACCCACGTGGACCCAGACTCCAGTCCTGCCCCAGTAGACCCAGGTTCCATACCCACCCCCATAAACTCGGGCACCAGGCCAGTCCCTGTGGTTCTAGGCACCAGTCCAACCTGCCCAAGGACTCCAGCAGCAAGTCTGCCCATGCACCCCATTAGCCAATCTGCCGAGAATCTCTAGAAGGGCTTTTCCTGTCAAAGGCAGCTTATAAAAATGGGGAGAGGTGCTTGCTTCTTCACATGTGCAGAAACCAACACAAGACTACAAAGATTACAAATAATCAAGGAAACACGACACCATCAAAGGAACAAAATTAAGTACCAAGAGCTGATCCTAAAGAAATGGCAATTTATGAACTCCCTGAAAAGAATTAAAATAATTATCTTAAAGAAGCTGAGTGAATTCTAAGAGAACACAGACAACTACAAGAAATCAGGAAAACAATATACAAACAAATGAAAAGTTCAACAGAGAGTCAAACCATAAAAAAGAACCAAACAAGTTCTGGAGACAAAGAATACAATGACTGAACTGAAAATTTTCATCGAGATCCTCAACAGCATACTCAATCAAGCAGAAGGAATAATTAATGGGTTTAAAGACAGGTTATACGAGACTACTTTACCCAGTCAGAAGACAAAATGAAAAAAAAAAATGAGGAAAGCCTAAGGGACCTGCGACAATGTCAAGTGAACCAACATTTGGATTGTAGAGCTCTCAGAAGAAGTAGAGAAAAAGACAGGGACAGAAAGCTTATTTAAAGAAATAATGACAGAAAACGTTCCAATTTGAAGAGGGAAATAAACATTTATATCCATGAATCCCGAAGAACTCCCACACATTAAACATAAAGAGGGGTTCACCAAACATATTATAATCAAATTCTTTAAAGTCACAGAGCAAGAGAGATTTTTGAAAGTGGCAAGAGTGAATTACTTATACAAGGGTGATTTCCAAGTGACTGTAAGTGGATTTCTCAGCAGAAATCTTGCAGGCTTGGAGAGAGTGGATGATATCTTGGAGAGAGTGGATGATATCAAAGTGCAGAAAGAACACACACACAAAAAAAACATTCAAGCAAGGATACTATACTCTGCAAATCTGTTCTTCAAAAACAAAAAAGATAAGGACTTTCCTAGACAAACAAAAGCCGAAAGAGTTTATCACCACTATATCTGCCTTACAAGAAATGCTAAAAGGAGTTCTTAAAGTTAAAAGAAAAAGGTTCTAACTAATAACGTAAGTTGTGAAAGTATAAAACTTACTGTAAAGGTAAGAATATGTATTTAGAATATGTTAATACTGAAATGGTGATTAATAAATCACATTTAACCCTTTAGTACAAACATCAAAAGACAAAATTATTTTTAAAGTGTAACTACAATAATTTATTAATGGATATATAATATAAAAATATGTAAATTGTGACATCAATAACATAAAATGTAGGAGCAGAAGTTACCATGTAGAGTTTTTGTATGCAGTCGAAATTAAGTTGTTATCAGGTTAAAATATACTGTTACAACTGGAAGACTTTATATAAGCCTCAGGATAACCACAAAGAAAATATCTGTAGTAGACATACAAAAGTAAAGATAAAGAATTCAAAAACATAATACTAAAAAAAAAGCCTAAATTATTAAATCACAAATTAAAACAAGAGGGGAAGAAAGAAAAAGGGAACTATATAACAGTTAGAAAACAACAAAATGATAAAAATAAGTTCTTATTTATCAATAATTATTTAAATTTCAATGGATTACATTTGGCTACATGGATGAAAGAATAACAAGATCCAACTATATGCTGCCTACAAGAAACTTACTTTAAGGACACACATGGACTGAAAGTGAAGGGATAGAAAAGGTATTCCATGCAAATGATAACTCAAAGAGAGCAGGAGCAGCTATATTTATCAAACAAAACAAACTTTAAGCCAAAAACTATTACAAGAGACAAGGTCATAATCAAATGATAATGGAGTCAATTCATCAATAGAGTATAACAGTTGTAAAAATATACACACCCACCATTAGGCACCTAAACATGTAAATCAAATGTTAACATAACTAAAGGGGAAAATAGACAGCAATACAATAATAGTAGGGGACTTCAACACCCCGCTTTCAACAATGGATAGATCGTCCAGACAGAAAATCAATAAGGAAACAGTGGACTTGAACAACATTATACATTAAAAGGACCTAATAGACATGCACAGCACATTCAATCCAACAACAGCAGGCTGTACATTCTAAAGTACACACAGAACATTCCCCATGACAGATCATATGTTGGACCACAAAGCAAGTCTTAACAAATTTAAGAAGATTGAAATCATATCAGATATCTTTTCTGACCATAGTGGTATGAAACTAAAAATCAATAACAGGAAGAAAATCAGAAAATTCATAAATATGTGGAAATTACACAACACACTCCTAAACAACCAATAGGTCAAAGAAGAAATGAAAAGAAAAAAAAACTTAAGAGAAATAAAAATGGAAATACACCTCAACAACAGTTAGCAGAAGGAAGGGAATAATAAAATTCAGAGCAGAAATAAATAAAATAGACAATAGAAAAAAAATAGGAAGACCAATGAAACTATAAATTGGTTTTCTTAAAAGATAAAATTGACAAAACCTTAGCTAGACTAAACAAGAAAAAATGAAAGAAGACTCAAAGAAATAAACTACAAATAAAAGAGCAAACATTACAAATGTTACCACAGGAAAAAAATCCCACTTGTTCATGTTGTCTGATCATAAGAGATTACTATAAACAATCATATGGCAAAAACTTGAATAACCTAGAAGGAGTGAATACATTTAGAAAAATAGAGCCTAACAACATAGAATAATGAATAAAAAGAAACTATTAACAAACCAAAAATGAGTAAGATTAAATCAGTAATCAAAAACCTCACCACAAAGAAAAGCTTAGGACTTGACGGCTTCTGTGGTGAATTCTACCAGACATTTAAATAAGACTTAGCAGGTATGCTTGTCAAACTTTTCCAAAAATGATTAGGGAACCCTTTCAAAACCATCATACAAGGCCAGCATTACCTTGATACCAAAGCTAGATAAGGACACTCTATGAAAAGAAAGTTACAGGCCAATATCCGTGATAAATATGGAAGCAAAAATCCTCTACAAAATACTAACAAACAAAATTCAATTGTACAACAAGATCAGACAACACGAACAAGTGGGATTTATCCCTGAGATATAGGGGTGGTTCAACATACAAAAATAAATATACCAAATTAACCAAAAGGAAGGATAAAAGCCATATGATAATCTCAATAGATGCAGAAAAAGCATTTGATAAAGCTCAACACTCTTTCATGATGAAATCTCTCAACAAATTAGGAATAGAAGGAATATACCTCAACATAATAAAGGCCATATATGACAAGCTCACGGCTAACATTGTACTCAGTAGTGAAAAGCTTAAAGCTTTTTCTCTAAGATCAGAAACAAGAAAAGGATACCCACTCTTGTCAATTCTACTCAACACAGAACTGGAACTCCTAGCTAGAGCAATTAGTCAAGGAAAAGAAATAAAACACATCAAAATTATAAACAAAGAAGTAAAATTATTTCTGTTTACAAGTTACATTACCTTATTTATAGCAAAACCTAAAAGCTTCACAAAAAAAAAAAACCTGTCAGAAATAATAAACAAAATTCAGTAAAGTTGCAGAGTACAAAATCAACATATAAAAATTCATTGTCCACTTTGGGAGGCCGAGGAGGGCACATGACGAGGTCAGGAGATCGAGACTATCCTGGCTAACACGGTGAAACCCCCCTCTCTACTAAAAAATACAAAAAATTAGCTGGGCATGGTGGAGGGCTCCTGTAGTCCCAGCTACTCGGGAGGCTGAGGCAGGAGAATGGCGTGAACCCAGGAGGCGGAGCTTGCAGTGAGCCGAGATCACGCCACTGCACTCCAGCCTGGGTGACAGAGCGAGACTCCGTCTCAAAAAAAAAAAAAAAAAATTCGTTGTCTATACACTAGCAAGAGCATTTAGAAAAATCAAGAAGACAATCCCATTTACAATAGCTACAATACATCCTTTAAGGGGTTAATGTCTAAAATATATACAAAGCTGAAACAACTCAATAGCAATAAAATAAATAACTTAATTTTAAAATGGGCAAAGAATCTGAATAGACATTTTTCTAAAGAAGACATAAAAGTGGACAACAGGTATTTGAAAAATACTCATCACTAACCATTAGGGAAATGCAAATTAAAACCACAATGAGATATCACCTCACACCTGTTAGAATGGCTGTTATCAAAAAAAACCAAAAGATAAGTGTTGGTAAAGATGTGGAGAAAGGGGCACCCTTGTACACTGTTGGTGGGAAGGTAAATTAGTAAAGTCATTATGGAAAATAGTATGGAGGTTTCTCAAAAAACTAAAATCAAACTACCATATCATTCAGACATCCCACTACTGAATACATATATTCAATGGAAATAAAATCAGTATCTTGAAAATATATCTGTATTCTCATATTTATTACAGCATTATTCACAATATCCAGGATATAGAATCAGCCTAAGTGTTCATCAACAGATGACTGGATTAAAAATATATAGTGTATATCATATATACAATTAAATATTATTCAGTCTTAAAGAAGAAAAAAGTCTTACCATTTACAACAATATGGATGACCTGGAGGACATTATTCTAAGTGAAATAAGCCAGGCACAGAAAGACAAATATCACATGATTTCACTTATATGTGGAATGTAAAAAAGTAGAACTCATAGAAGCAGAGAGTAGAATAGTGGTTGGTAGGGTTTGGGGAGAATGGGGACAATAAAAAGATGTTGGTTGAAGTGTACAATATTTATATTATACATAATAACTTCTGGAGATCTAATGTATAGCATGATGACTATGGTTAATAATACTATATCAGTTACTTAAAATTTGCTAAGAGAGTAGATCTTAAAGGTTCTCACCACAAAAAAGGTAACTAGGTGAGGTGGTGAATATGTTAATTAGCTTGACAGTGATTATCATTTCTCAGCATATATATATATATATCTCAAAACATCATGTTGTATATCTTAAATATTTACATTTGCATTTGTCAATTATACCTCAATATAGCTGGGAAATAAATAAGGAAGGAAATAAATCAAATTTTTAAAAAAATCAGAGCTGCTTTTATTCATTGGGGACCAAAGGTCTGAGGTCAGAGTCCCAGGCAGAGACAGGAATGTGGTGGTGTGCCTCTTACTGGAGTCACCTGATACTCTGAGACCAAAGTTGACTTCTCATGACTTCCCCTGTAAGAATGTGGCAACCAGCTGAAAATGGGAATATGGCAACAGCCAAATCTGGGTCCAAAAGTATTCATTTGTGTCACATCCATTGCTATCTACTTTCTTTCTGAGAAAAACATCTAGGTTGTAAGAACTGGTACTTTCAGGTCAGAAATAAGAGGAACAAATGAGCTAATGAGTACCTTGTCTCTATTTTCTTTTTGTTCTATAGCCCTCAAATCAGTAGGCTTCTTTTCCCTTTAAATTTGTTGCTTGATAAATGCTGAATTGAAATGGATAAATTGGGCTATACTTCAACTACTAGATCATTTGCAAAAATCGAATTTTTAAACATCGTGTAGTTTCATTTGCCTGGCTGGTGAGCCCCAAAGTTAGAATATTATGAGTGCCTTATTGTATTAATTTCCTATTGCCACCATAACAAATTATTACACTCTTGGTGGTTTAAAACAGCACAAACTTATTCTTTCATAGTTCTGGAGGTCACAAATCCAAAGTCAGTATCACTGGGCCAAAATCAAGATGTCATCAGGGCCACACTTCCTTCAGAAGTTCTAGGAGGGAATTTGTTCCCTGCCTCTTGCAACTTCTGGTTGCAAGCATTCCTTGGTTTGTGGCTACATCACCCCAAATCTTCAAGGCCAGTATCTTGAAATCTTTCTCTGTTCCATCGTCATATCACCATCTTCATTGTATGTGTCAACTCTCCCACTGCCTTACTCTTATAGATACCTGGGATTGTATGTATCCTTATAAGGCTCGTTGGAGCCCACGAGACTAATCCAGGACAATCTCTCCATCCCAAGAGTCTTAATTTAATCATATTCACAAAGACCTTTTTTGCCATATAAGGTAACATTCACAGGGTCTAGTGATTAGGACACGAAGATCTTTGAAGGCCCGTTTTTCAATCTACCATACTCATTTCTTACCTATTATCTCACAAATACAAAGTCAAGTAGATAGGTAGGTAGAGTTTAAACCCAAACCAAAGTAACAAGCTATTGGTTTATTCTTCCGCAAACTTTGCCATGAAAGTGGTAATATTCAATGATCTGGAAAACTCACCTGAGAGGAACTCTTTATTCATACAATGCTGAATGTATAAGATGTATTGAAAAATTTTTAAAAAATCTCTTCAGTAGTTTGATTTCAAAGTACAGTATTTATTTTGGGTCAACATTTTGCCATCAGGCTTTAGAAAGAATGTAATAAAGAAGGATGAAAACAAAGAACTGGAATTATACTGCAACCTCTAGTTGTGGTACATTTACCCTCACTATCTGTCAATTTAGGTAGGTGTGTGAGTAGAGGAGAAACAAAGGAATTGTCCACCCTTGGACTTCAGTATTTCCTTAAATTCCCTATAGAAATGATGTGACAAAGCAAATACCATTTGCTTTTATATTGGAAGAGGACATGAGTCCCTGGGGTAATAAAACTCAATTCAATTCAATTCACAACCCAAGAGAGTATACAGAATTGGATTCAAAGTTAATCCATTCAGAATTTAAATACATTTTAATATCTTAAAATACATTGGTGAGTCATTCACACAAGATGGTGTGGTGGACAAGATTAAGGGGTAGAGATAGATCAGGGACAAAATTATGCCCTTAGAGCCTACAACTCAAGAGGAACCCAAAGTGACCCTGAACCTCAAAGACAGGGAGGAGGAGAAATACTGCCCATAAGGCCCTCAAAAGGAAATTTTTGCTTTTTGTTTCTACCTTTTATTTCTATTCCCATTGAATATTTTCTAGTCCTACAATAAATTTGATGTTCTGAATGGGTGAGGGTAAGAAGCACTCTGAGATTTAGACCAGAAAGCACTAAATAGAACAACGAATTCTTTCTCTCTCTCTCTCTCTCTCTCTCTCTCTCTCTCTCACACACACACACACACACACACACACACACAGCTTGGGAGGACTGTGTGAGGACACCCATGTACTATGCCTAGGGTAAAGTGACTCATGAAGCTAAATCATGCCGACATTTCTAATTCCAGATCACCAGGGATTTAAATTGTACAATGAGGAAATGACTTGTTGGATAACTTCCAGAGTTTTTCTTAAAATTTAATTGCAGCTTACCTAACACTTTTATAAAATATATACATTTTACTTACGTTTCTTAGTCAAAATATTCCTCTAACCTTTTTTTCTTTTTTTAGTAAGTGACGAAAGTGTTCTTGTTGTAATTAATGAAGAACAAAAATATTGGGGAAACATGCCTAAAGGCTTAAACTATAATTCTATTACTAATATATTCCCTTGGCTTGCCTTTTGAACTCGGCTGCCTCTTGCCTTGCAGCTGTGTTTAATGAGTAGAGAGATTATTCAAATCAGCCCACAGCAGAGCATTATTTCTGAGGCTCTAGCTATCTTGAGCAGGCATCTTCTCCTACAATCAGGCAGTAAAAGCAAACCATCACTCTTCAGTTACCTGGCCATGTAAAATAATTCCGTAGACACCAGATCACATCCCTAGATTGGGAGAGAAGCTACTAATGATGCGGTGGCCTGACAAAAGGACAGCAGAAATAGCCTTCAACATGAAAAACGAGAAGTCACCTGCGCTAGGCTCTACCGTGCGTCAGCTTTCAATTTGTCACTACCTGTCAGTGATGGAGACTGTTAGTGGCTAATAATGAAAACATGCAGCCTTACAAAATAGTCTCTTTAAAAATCACTGTTTGTGGGCATATGGCCTTTGTCCCAATAACATCACAATGGGACTCACTGCAAATGGGCAGGCCAATGTTTAATAATTTTTAGGATGTTAAAATGAGTTCCTACTCATGTAAGATTTAAAAGTCAGAACAACTCTCTAGGGGAGAAACCCCTGAGACAGTTACAAAGTTGCCAAGAAAATTTAATAAGAACTAATTTTGAGCTGATAAGCATTCAATCCAATATGGTGGGATTAAGCAATAAGAATTCTTCCTGGGACTTTACAGAGAGATAAGCATCTCATGAATAAGTAAATTCTGAAACAGGAGGCTACAGGGTGTTTATTGATTTTGAAATAATTTGTTTGAGAAATTGCCCTTGAGGAAAAACTATTATGGCTGATAATATAATAGTTATATTCAGAGACAACCCATTTCTTTGGCTGATGGCAGAATAGAAAGATTATCCACACAATACAAAATTTATAAGCACAAGTTTGATCCACAAAATCCACTCATTATTCTAATCTTCCATTTCCTATTCCTATAAATTTCCATATATAATTTTTAGAGTCAAAAATAAGTAAAAGCCTAAATAAATAGAGTATCCAATTTACTAAATACTTTTGCTACAACTGGAATTGAAATGTTTTGCAAAAAGGCTGTGTCCAGAGACATTCAAAGGTTCATATGCATTCATACCAATCCTTTACACAGTGTGAATCTACCTCTGCAACTGGGGATAATAACTAAAATTTAGAGGGAACTTCTGTGTCATTTAAATATTTTCAAAACAACATTTTTCAGTTTATCATTCTCATTAAAGTAAAAAAGCAAGAAAAATTCAATCACTTTTAACAATGGTGGAAGCATAAGTTTTATGGTAAATTCTGAGTTAGCCAGAAAATTTCATCACAAAAATCTTGTGTTTACTAATAATTGGGTAGTCATTTTTTTTCCAGAACATCCCTCTTAAAGGACATCTCCCAGTTGCTCCCTTTTTTGACTGCTATCCAACATAAAGCAAGGTAACAGGATTCAATTTGTTTATCAATGAAGATGCAGTAGCTAAAACAATACTGTCTTCCATGACAGTATCATGATACATCAGTACCTATATTGGGTTCCACATGAGTAGTGAGCTGCCCATCCTCTCCTGCTTGCATCTAGTCTCTGAGGGAAGAATGAGTTCTCTTCAGGACAAACTCTCCCTCTCTCTGTCCTCTTAATTCCCTCCTTCCTGTGTCTTCCAGGACCATATTGCATCAATTGTGCCCTCTTCTAGATTTATCCTTGCCTCTTCTGTTTGCTCTTTCTCCTTAGCCTATTAACAAGTGACCTGACTTCATTAAAAAATAAAACCAACCTCTCTCTGTTTGCCAACTCATCTTCATCCACACATGACTTGCCAGATTCTTGAGTAACTACACTCTAGTCTCCACTTGTGACTCAGCAGGCTGCTTCATTCTTTGATCCATTTTCCACTAGCACCAACACATGGAAATGTCTCCCAAGCCTCAATCATGCTTGACTGCCTCAGGTTCTCATCAATATTTGATGCTATTGGTCACTGTATCAATCTTTCTCTCTGTCTTCCATGACCTGGTTCTCCTGCTCCTGCCAGGTTTGTTGAGCTCTGAGGCCAAATGCCTCCCCAACTTCTCCTGTATTAGTCTGTTCTCACACTGCTATAAGGACATACCCGAGACTGGGTGATTTATAAAGGAAAGAGGTTTAATTGACTTACAGTTCCACAGGGCTGGGGAGGCCTCAGGAAACTTTCAATCATGGCGAAAGGAGAAGCAAACATATCCTTCTTCATATGGCACCAGGAAGGAGAAGAATGAGAGCTGAGTGACGAGGGAAGCCCCTTATAAAACAATCAGATCTCATGAGTAGTTACTATCATGAGAACAAGATGGGGGAGCCACGCCCTTGGTTCAATTATCTCCACCTGGTCCCTCCCATGATAGAAGGGAATTATGGGAACTACAATTCAAGATGCAAATTGGGTGAGGACACAGACAAACCATATCACCCCCTAAAGAAACAGTACACAACCTATAATGCCACGTTGTCTGGAATGTTTTCTGACTCCATCCAAGAAAAGAGTCATCCACATCTTGTACATGTCTCTGTAATACCTCTTCACACATCAAATAGAGCTTCTATTTATTAATTCACCAAATACTGTTGCATTTCTTCTTGGTGTGAGGTACTGGTTTTGGCATTTGGGACATTTTTGCAGAAAATGATCCCACTACTTAAAATGCCCTCCCCTCTAGCTTCTCAGGTACCCTCCTCCGAGATACAATTCAAAGCCACTTTTCCCATGAACACCCAGTGAATGCCCCAACTAAAGTAATGCCTTACATTTTTAAATGCTCACAACCATTAATTTGCATCTCCAACTCTTGTCTGCTTGCTTCTATTTCTCAAGATTATCTGTATGCAGAATTTTTAATCTCTGTCTTCCTATCTAACCTTGTCTCTGACTTCCCACCTCGTCTGAGGACTTTGGCTTCTTTCTGCTCCTGGCAGTTGTTGACTCCTGCTGCCCAGGACTTGCTCCCTCAAGGTCTTCACTTGACTGTTTCCTTTGCATTATTCAGATTCAGGGCTCAGAGAAGCATCCCAGAACTCCTTTCCTGTCCCAGCTACTCTCGATCACATTATTTCTGTATTCATGTTTTTACAGCACTCATCATCAGTACCTATTTTATTTGTGGTTTATTAAATGTGTTTACTTGACTGTAAGCTCAATGACAGGGAAATTGTCTTGTTCACTGCTGACTCCTCAGTGCTCACAGCACATAGTATGACTCAATAAATATATGCAGAATGAACGAAAACCTCGTGGCCTCTATTAACTTGACAGCTACTTTGAGAACACAGAAGTTCCTTTTTATAGCTTTTAGACCCCTATGATGTATGGTCCCTTTCCTGAAGGAAAATACTCATTTAAATATTTATTGAATGAATGAATGAGTAAATAAATAAGAAAAGAATTCTTTGGATATATTCTGATAAAAAGAACCTTATAAACCACTGGCTTTCAACCTTCACTGCCCATTAGAATCACCTGGGGGGCTTTTTAAAAATGTCAATGCCCTGGTCCCACCCCCAGAGATTCTGCTTTAATTAGGCTGGAAAAGCACTTGGGCATCAATATACTTTTAAGCTCTCCAGATGATTCTAATGGGAAGCCAAAGTTGAGAACCACTGCTCTAAACCCTACAGAAGAATGTCAAATCCAAATAAAATGTTGAATTCTGAACAAGACTTAGGCCATTGATTTGATTCTTGAATTGCTCTTCATGAGGAATTGTGAGCAAGTGCCCTCTTTTGCAAAGGCCTACTGAAAGAGAACACTTTGAAGCAAAAAAAAAAAAAAAAAAGATATACTACTTTGGTGCTATATACTAAAGGAGGTGGCCTTTCAAAGCAAACACTACACAGACCCATCTACTCTTCACAAGTTCTTTGGGAAAATCATTGGCTACAGCACATGCAGTTCCCCATAAGCCAGAGCAGAAAATGTATGCTACGTCATAAAGGCAATTAGTATGACTTTGGAGAGATTTGGAGCCTATATGCAGAGGAATGGATTATACCTTCCTGTCACGGTATTAATATGAATGGTGTAAGCCTATTGTGTTCAAGATTCAATAAACCTGCAATGATTTAGGCAGAGAGGGTATCTGTAAAGCAGAAGAAAGCCTGCCTAATTAGAAAAACAAGGAATGGGAAAATAAATAAAGGGGTTGAACGAAGTCAGCTCTGGCTTTAATTTGCCTGGAGACATCCTAACACTTGCTGCAAAATAAATCGAATTTTTGCTGTATACATTCAATATTTGTTAATAAGCTGACAGCTAGCGATTTTCTGTATTTCCTGCACAAGCAGGGAGTGGTGTGTGTATTGTCAGGTTGGTGCATGCAATGAACCACTTGGAGGCAACTTTCAGTCTGCAAAAGCACAGCCTGGGCTCCAGAGAAGACTGCCCCCAACTTGTACATCAGGAGGAAAAAAGACAGCATAGGTGAGATCCATGTGCTTCATATATTGTGTTGGGAAGGAAAATAATAATTTTTAGAGGCCATTTGACAAGGAATTTCTACCCTGCTAGTCTGGTTTAGCATTTCTGAATGTGACAAATAACAGGGCTCTTGGACAGCCCATTTTTTTTCTTTATTTTGATACCCTTACAGCAGTAATCATGCCTCTTGTCAGGTGTTATAAAGATAAAGACAAATGTTCCCTATTGCTATTCTGTCAATGCAGCTCAACCCAAGCCAAAGAAAGACGCCCCTGCCGGATGTGGGGAATGCACCATTTGCCTTGTCTCCATCACAGATGGAAGCACATCCTGTCCCAACAGGATCCTCAGGTCAGAAAAATAGAAATCTGCTGCTGACAGTGTCAAAGCTTGCTTTGCCTGCTCCAGAAACTAGTGCACCTTGTGCATTCCCTCCACGCTGACACCAAGATTTATTTTCCTTTTCTGGTACTATTGATTAGACTGTACAACATATTCATAGGGTCAAATAGCAAAACAATTCCTTTATCAAATAAGATGGGCTTTGGCACTAGTGTTTTTTTTTTTTAAACGGAAAGACACCGTACTGTCATTTATTGATGGTAGCAATATTTGAGAAACATAAAATAATTTTCAAAGATGTGGTTCAGGAACCCATCTGAAAAATTGTTGATGCCAAAACAGATGGAGTTTGGCTTAATTGTTGAAATAAATTGCCATATGGAACAAAACACAGCTGATTATTGCATTAACACTAATGTTAATATGTTTCATCATTCTGTTGTCATTGTAGCTACAGTTGTCACCATACTCTAATCAATATGCTTATAAGGAAATACAAATTTTGGAATTTGGGACCTAAAGGAGATTTCAGAGATTATCTAGTTATCTTATAGATGAGGAAACTGAGGCCTGCAAGGATGAGTGCTTTGTATAAAGGCATGTGCCCTATAACCTGGAAATGAAAGAGAGTCTAAAAACATATGGCACATATCAGCAAGGCATTCATTAAAAGCAAGATGATTATAACTCAAGGTGAAGTATCACTACTGCAAATGAGCATGATAAGAGACTTGGTGCAATGAGATGAAATAGATAGGACTTCCCAATTCGAAAAGCTTCTTTTTCATGCTTAGCATCTCTTTGTTAACACCCAAGATACTCTATGTTCTCTTCTTGAACTTTTGTAATGGTTTCTCAGTTAGCATCTTCTTCTGAGGATATTCTCCATATAAAATAAAAGCATTTCTGGATGATAGAAAAAAAAAACATACACAAATAAGCCACAGGAGATGGTGGGGAAAGAAAACGGAACACAAGAACAGAGAGTTCAGTTCCATTTCCAGGTGTGGTGAGTGAAGTTTTTTACTCTTAGTTTTTCTCATAACTGTTGATCCTTCTGTGGTCCTCTCTTCTCTGTAAAGTGGGAAATGAATGGGAATTGATCTAAAAAGCTATTTCAAAAGTTATTACAGGATTGTCAGTAATCCTTCTAAACCTAACCTCCATCTCTACTGCCACCCCTATACCTGACACACAAAACCCTTTGAAAAGCTAGTGTTGGAAGTCTGAAGTGTCTGAAGTGTGAAAACAGTAAGCCAGTGGCCACCCCCTACCCCAGCCCCAGCTCAAGGTCAGTGACCCAGAAACAAGTGAGAGAAGGCTTCCAAATTCTGTGAAAGTAATTGTACAGGTGCATTGAATGGATGCTCTGTTTCATGATTTGTGTTTCATCCCACTGCAGCAAACTTTTAAGAGATGTCCAAATCCTTTCATTATCTCCGGCTACCACCCCTGACAGAGTCCTCTGTTACAGTACTCTCCACCTTTAATTTCCCTTTATTATTTCTTTTTCTATCTTTTCCAGCTAGTTTGTCAGCTCCTGGCCAAAAAAAGAGAGGAAAAAAATATGTAATTATCTATGCAACTCTGTGCTTAAGACAACAGGCAGTAACTAGTAATGAATATATGCATGGATCTAGAATTTGTTGAGCTCCTGAGTTCTGAGTGCTGTATTAGGCAGTGGGTGTTTAAATGCTTGTGTCTGCTGTGTATTTGCTAATTATGAGTTAGGGTAAGAGCCAAGCTGCTATAACAAAGAGACCTGAAGATATAGTGACATACTTAAGATATAAGTTTGTTTTTCTCTCACATAACAGACCAGTAGTAGGTGAGTGGTCCAAAGTGGGTAAGTGGCTGTGGTCTGCAAAGTTATTTTGGGACCTGAGCTGGTGGGTTATTTCTGCCATCTTCAACATATGGTTTCCATCTCTGGGCCTCACATGGCTCCATTTCCCAGCCTGTAAAAATGGGGAAGGAAAACGAGAGAGGGAAAGAGTGGAGAGCAAGCAGCTTTCTTAGCACACATTTCTTCCATTCATATCCCATTGGCCAAACTTTGTCACATGAGCACACCTTAGTTGCAAGAGAAGCTGGGAAATTTAATTCTCAAGCTGGACAGCCATGTGCCTAGATAAAATTCAAATGTGGGAGATGAGGAACAGTATCTATTAATAAAAAGAAAGAAGAGAAAATGGATACTGAAGAACTAGTTGCCTCCACCACAGTGTTTGTTTTGGAAGAAGAAGATGCAAGAAAAGAAATATAGTTTGGACTTAACAAAATACAAACAATTAATAGGGTTATGAGCTGTATCTACTACATTTTGCTATCCCAAAGTTAGCACTGAAAACACTTATTTGCTCACAATCCTGTGGATTAGCAATTTGAGTTAGGCTCAGCTGGAATGGCTCCTCTCTAGTCCACAGGGTGTTGGCTGGGCCCAATCATGCATGGTCAGCTGGCTGTTTACATGTCTCGGGGTTGACTGGCTGTTGGCAAAGGCAATTGTCCCAAGAAGTAACTGTCCTTATGCTGCTCATCATCCAGCAGGTAGCCCGAGTTTGTTGGACACAAGATTACCAAGAGCAGCAAGGGACAGCAAGGTCCCGAGAGTAAGTACTTTTCAAGGCTCTACTTGCATCAGATGTGCTAATGTTCCACTGGCCAAAGCAAGTCATGTAGTCAAGCCCAAAGTCAGAGTAAAGAAATAGATTCACTTCCGAATGGGAGTTGCTGCCAACTTACATTGCAAAGGGGCACGCATATAAGAAGAAAAATTTCTGACCATTTATGCAAACAATCTACCGTGAAAGCTAGACTCAAAATATATCAATAGAAAGTATCAGAGCACTTTCTACAATGCTTTATAAGAGATGGAAGGTTCTAAATTTGTTGGCCAAATTTTCTGAAAGGAATAACTAAATGGATATTATCTGTAGTATCAGAAAAGGTACAAATCTCAGTAGAATAAACCATTTTATTCTCCAAGAAACTATTTTTTTAAAGTATCACAGGAACATTATGAAGACAAAAATAATTCACTTTCTGGGAAAAAAAGGGTTATGCTCTCCAGAAAGGGTATCTTTTGAACTGAATGAATAAAATTATATTAGCCCTAAAAAAAGTTGGAGAACGTTTTACACATCCCCACCATTTTATCTTTCTAATCCAATTCCATAAGCCTGTGTTGAGTACCTACCACATGCTAAGCCCTGTGGCAATTTTGTAATGACAAGGGATATTAAAGTATCATGAATTTGGAAATGTTCTCATTGAATTACTTATCAAGTGAGTTTGGTGAAAGTCCTCCCAGTTTTTGGTAAAGAAACTGAGTAAGAAGAGTGCGTTAGTAAAGCTATCCAAGGATACAGTGGTGGGACCCAGGGCAGAATCCAGAGCTGTCTTTGCCATGTACCAGGGCACTGGTGATGAGAATAAAGGCACAGAAGACAGGAGAGGGCTAGATTGGGACATCTGTTATTTTAGGAATTTAGAAATGAAAAATTAGGGTCACGAAGAACTAGATGCAAATTATTAAATTAACCCAATGTACTCAGCATAAACACATTAATAATATGCTTTTGAGGTTTCCCAGCAGAAAAAAATCCAAGTTCTTACATACCCTGTAAGGCTCTGCAAGACCTAAATGGTCCATCTCCTACCATCTTCTTCTCCCTCTCTCTGTTCCTGCCACCCTACCTCATTGCTGTTCCTCAAAAACACCAAGACATCCCTTCTCAGTGCTGTGTACCTCCTCTCCCCTCTAGTTGGACCACTTTTTCCATCCCAGAGCTCTACAAGCCTCTTCCCAAGTTTTAGCTCAGATATCACCTTACTGGAGAGGCCCTTCCTAAACATACTGTATGAAACACAACTTTCCCTCTGCCTTTCATACTCTGTCTCCTTAACATACTATCTTTTTTTTTCTCACTCTGTCGCCAGGCTGGAGTGCAGTGGCATAATCTCGGCTCACTGCAACCTCCGACTCCCTGGTTCAAGCAATTATCCTGTAGCCAGGAGCCTCCCAAGTAGCCAGGATTACAGGTAAGCACCATCACGCCCAGCTAATTTTTTTTGTATTTTTAGTAGAGACAGGGTTTCACCATGTTGGCCAGGATGGTCTCGATCTCCTGACCTTGTAATCTGCCCGCCTCAGCCTCCCAAAGTGCTGGAATTACAGGCATGAGCCACCGCGCCTGGCCCATGCTATCTATTTTTATTCTTAGCACTTCTCATCTCCTGAGTTGATAGATACTTATTGTCTGTCTTTCTTACTAGAATACAAGCTCTTCAAGATTTGGTCTATTTTGATAACCATTTTATTCCTAGCACCTAGGATAGTGTCAAGCCTATAGTAAGTTTTCAATAAACATTTGTTGAAAGAAGTATTCTTCACTGATATATATATGCATGTATTGTATTATGGAAATACATATATGCATATACGTGTAGATGTATATATACATATTTACTCCTCTGTGCCAATGAAGAACAACTGCTACAGTGTGCTCCTGGGCTTAATTAACAATCTCTTCTCATCAGGGCATGATTATCACTCTAAAATTTGTTAACTTTATGTTTTTGATCTCCTTTTGTTACTCTGTCGCATCAGTGTTCACTGATTATTTGCAATTTGTATTTCACACAGATTCATGAACTTCACTTTTTTGTGAGACCGGATAGAAGTCATTAAAGAGAATCCTCGTGACCCAAAATTGCTTAAAATGCACTCTTTCATGTAAAGAGAATTTCTGCCTTGAAATACATAGATGTTATCTATAATAGTCATTTCTATTGATCTAGATGGTCACTTTCCTATTTGCTATTACACAGGTATAGACAATAGTGAAAGACAATGCTCCCTGTACCTCAGATGGTGCATAATAAAATGCCCCCACACCCCTGCTACACAATACAATTACAATTATATTTTTATTATATAATAAAAATGTTTAAAGCACCTTCCGATGTATTTGTTTCCTGTAAGGAAAGTAAGTCTTTCAGATTAATTACTATTTAGAGGTTTCTCCCCACTAAAGAAAAGCTATTGTTTGTTGTGCAATTATTTTCTGCCTCTAAAATATCTCCCACCTAACACAAGTGAGAATAAAAGCTTTCGGCTTCCTAGCTCACTGAGGATTGACATTTAACCTTTTCATGCCTAGACACATGTGGGTTACTGAGTACATGTGGATCACCAAGGAGGAACTCCATGGAGCCTGGGAAGGTCAACAGAAGGGGCCATAGCGGAGAGAAAAGGCACAATACTCAGGTAAGAGAATTTCTAAGACAGCATCTACCATCCCAGTTCTCAATTCTGAGCGCTTCTCTCCTTCTGCATAACTACTTCTCCAATTCAGACCCTTTAATCTCTCACCTAGACTATTCCAAGGCCCCTTAACTAACTTCTTTCCCTGACTCTAGTTTCTCTCTTCTCTGATTTCTCCATGATGAAATCACCTGAGTCTTCTTCCTAACTCACACATAGGATCATATCACTTCAACAACCTTCCATGTTTCCTCTTGCTGATAGAGTCAACTCCATATTCCTTAGCAAAACCCTAAACCTCCTCGTGATTTAATCCAAGACCACTCTCCCAACTTCATCTCCCACTGCACACCCTCGCTTAGTCTCAACACTCCAGCAAAAGGAGAGCTACACATCAGTGACTTTCTGTGTTTTCTCACCTTGGCTCTTTTTGTTTCTTTTAGCAAGAGTCCATTCCCTTGATACCAGCTTACTTCTCAATGTACAGACCACAGTCAACCTAATTCACGAAAACTTCCCTGTTCCTTTCCGTTTGAATTAACTGCTCCTTTCTCTGTGCTCCACAGATTTTGCAAATGTCCGTCTATTGCATGTGTCTCATACTCTGCTTTGTTATTGGTACAGAATATCTCCTCCACTAAAGTGCCAGTGCTTTAGAAATGCATTTATTTCTGTATCCCTTATGGGGCTTTTACTATATGTTAGACATGATTTCAAATGCTGCAGTTGGGTTAGTAATTTTTTAACCCTCATAACAACTCTAGGGAGTAGTTACTCTTATCCTAATTTTACAAATAAGTAGACCAAGGTACAGGCAGGCTAGGCAACATGCCTACCACAATGGTAAGTGTTGGAGCTAGTCAATTTGACTCCAGAATCCTTATCCTTAATATGCGAAGTAGATATTTAAACTTACCTGAACAAAGGCATTTAGATAGTTCCAAAGACTGATAGAAAATACTATAAAAATCAGGCAACAGCAATATTAATGAGCAACAGACTAAAGCCCAGAGAAAGTGAGCTGCTTGCCTAAGTTCCCACAGTGAGTTACTGGCAAAGACAAAGTAATATCTGGGTCTCCAGAGGCTGGCCTAGCACTCTTTAAACTAGATAGATCATGGCTCCTGTGTGGTGCCTATGGAGCAAAAGGGCACGAAAAAGAAATGAGAAATCTAGTCAAGTCTTGTTTAATTGTAAAAGGTAATGAGGAATTCAGGCAAGGATGGGTCTCTAGACACTGCAAGCTCACTCCCTAATAAACACATCTCTGCAGAAGAATTTTCTTAAACTATAAAATGCAAAAACCTAAATCCATGGATCCAAGGAAAAACATGGGCAAAATGGAAATGGACAGAACCTAAAAAACAACAGCTAACTCTTTCTTCAGTACTTAGCATAGGCTGGGAGCTGTATTAGCACTTGATCTAATTTAGTCCTCAAAATCAACCCTCCTTTTTTACTATTAGCCTCATTTTATAGCAAAACAAATAGTCACAGAGAAATGAAGTAAGTTTCCCAAGGTCAAGAAGCAGGTAAAAAGTAGCACTGGATGCATATTTCAAATCAGTGAGCTTTTCAGATAATAGAAGCTTATTCCTTGAAGCTCTAAAACCATTTTGAATTTCAGCACTCTCCCACATAGTACACACTTTCCTACCCTCCAAAAAAAGAGGGATTGGAATAATTTTAATCTATTATTTGGTCCCCAAAGTCATCATTATGCATGTCCCTATGCAGTAGCTCCTTCCAAAATGGTTGTAAAGAGACAATGATCAGACAACAATGTCTTGTTGTCGGAGGTATGTGTCTAGTGTACAGTGTCCAACAATAAATGACCTTTTTTTTTTTTGAGACACAGTTTCACTCTTTTGCCCAGGCTGGAGTGCAGTGGCACGATCTTGGCTCACTGCAACCTCCACCTCCTGGGTTCAAGAGATTCTCGTGCCTCAGTCTCCCAAGTAGCTGGGGCTACAGGCACGTACCACCGCGCCTGGCTAATTTTTGTATTTTTAGTTGAGACGGGGTTTTACCATGTTGGCCAGGCTGGTCTTGAACTCTTGACTTCAGGTGATCTGCCTGCCTCAGCCTCCAAAAGTGCTGGGATTACAGGTGTGAGCCACCACGCCCAGCCAGCAATGACCTCTTAAATATTTTCTTAGTCCCTTTTCCTGCCTTTACGGTTTTCCCATCCTTTCTCTCATCAAAATACAGCAGCTGCTATTTCTGGCAGTTATGTTTTCCTCATATCCTCCTCTTTTTGTCATGGGCTGGGAAACCACATAATAGGCATGGTTAGAATTTGGTCACAACTTACAGTTATCAGCATTTGAGTGACAGTCTGAGACACTACACCCCAAGTAAACGGCTTGAGCAGAAGCAAAGCAATACCTTTTTTTTTTTGACTCATTAGAACCCCTTCCTTTTTTTTTTTTTTTTTTTTGAGACGGAGTCTCACTCTGTTGCCCAGGCTGGAGTGCAGTGGTGCCATCTTAGCTCCCTGAAAGCTCTGCCTCCTGTAGAACCCCTTTCTTTAGCTGTGTTTCTGATCATTTAAATGTTAAACAAATGCTGGGAGGGGTCTGGCACTGGAAGGATTTGGGGATTAGAGGGTAACATTATCTTAAAATGATAGATTTTTTAGGGTAAATAAAAAGCAACCATTTTAAAGAAAAAATAGAATATTTTAATAGGATCAGATTATAAAAATTGAAATGTTGCTTTTAATCTTTATTAAATATTTAAAGAGGTGTTATGGTGAGATGCAAACGCCTAGATTTTATACCTAGAAATACCTAAGCTATAATCTCTCTCCACTGTTTTCTGATAATTGACTTTGCACGTTACTTAATTTATCCAAGCTCCCATTTTTTTATTTTCATATCTTAAATTGTAGATAAAGATAAAATATATCTCATAAAGTATGTAAAGTACCTGACACATAACAGTTAGCTTGAAAATCCCACATAATAGAGTTGAGATCATATTTTTATTACTCAAACTTAAAATATGCTTAGCTTCAAATTTATACTTATGGTGTAGAATATATATAACTCATAACTTTATAGCAAAAAAGATAAAGATCTCTTGCTGTCTTCTGAAGCTAGCAGAGTTTTATATTCAGAGAATTTGTATGACTTGAACTTACTAATCATCATTTAAGCCTGATGGCTTAAATTTAGAAGTTTCTTGCTAAATAGCCGTTGGATGGATGGATGGAGGGATGGATGGATGGATGGATGGATGGATGGATAGATGGATGGATGAAAGGAAGGAAGGAAACACTTGTATTTGGGCACAAAGTTAATATTTAAAGAGGATACATTTTTAGATGGATATATACTTTTATTATCTATTTTCATGCTGATGATAAAGACACACCCAAGACTGGGCAATTTACAAAAGAAAGAGGTTTAATGGACTCACAGTTCCATGTGGTTGGGGAGACCTCACAATCACAGTAGAAGGTGAAAGGCATGTCTCACATGGTGGCAGACAAGAGAAGAGAACTTGTGCAAGGAAACTCCCCTTTATAAAACCATCAGATCTTGTAAGACTTATGGGAAAGACCCACCCCCATGATTCAGTTACCTCCCACCTAGTCCCTCCCACAACACGTGGGAATTGTGGGAGCTATAATTCAAGATGAGATTAGAGTGGGGACACAGCCATACCATATCTATCTATCTATCTATCTACCTATCTATCTATGGAAACTCATCTTTGGTAGGAAAACTATTCTGACTGGATTAGAATCATCATTTAATACAAGATCAATTTGGCAATACCTATCTGGACTTCAGTTTAAAGTATGCAGGAGCTCAGCAACATGGAGCTGGAAGGAAGAAATGAGAAGCCAGGTGGGATAAGAATGGAGGTAAGGGTGGCGTAGAATCTGGCCTACCTCCAGCTACAGAGCTAGGGAAGTTCAGCCAGAAAGTCTGAAGCTTAGAATCCAAGGGGTACAGCAAACTTGGCACAATTCAGAAAAACTATTACTCCTGAGTAAACTAGTATGACAGATGAAGTGTGCAACAATGGAAAATTCAAAAAGGAGGACAGCAAGAACTCTCAAGATATGGGAGGAGAACTGTAAAGGTGGTCCTAGGGGATCTATTCATTTCCTATAGAGCTGGGGCCTGTAACCTCAGATTCCAGGATAATGCCCTAGCCCTCAGAGAAAGGAATTAGAAGGAGCAAAACAAGCTGATTTTGGGGCCAGAGGAAATGGGCAGAGAGGTATGACTGACAAAATATTGGGGACCAAGGCAAAGGCCAAGGGGAAGGAAGGTCCCAGGCCAGATGAAAGCAATGGAGTAGCCATGTGACAAAACAGTGCCCAGCTCTCATTTAACTGTTAAGAGAAAATTCAAGGAAGCAACATGGCCCAGCACCCATGGCTAGGCCCTAGTTTCTGGGTCCCAGGTCTTGGTTTGAGACTCATTTTCAAATCCTCCTGAATACTAACAGTGAGGCTAGATTTCTGCCTCACTTGGGATTACATTTAGAATCAAAACATACTTGATGCTGGGTAGGGAGAGTCAACAACCCTAGTAATGAGAAATTGAAAAGACAGAAGCAAGAGAAACAATGTTGACAATATGTCTCTAAGATAAATGTATTCTGAAAAGACGCTTGAGAGCAAAAACTAAATCTTCTTTATTCATTCAAATTTCATAATGATGCCTTGCACAGGTGGGCACTACAGTCAATCCTCAGCAAAGGTTAAATGGAATCTATTCTCATGAGTACAAATTAACTACTCCAGTCACTAATTGTTACAAGTGCCACTTACCTTCTTTCCCCTGTATATCTATAAACAAAAATATCCTGCCATATCCCCCCTTGCTACTCAAAAATATTTTCATAACTTCTGACCTTATCTCCATCTGTGCCCTGACTGCTTTTCAAAGAAAAGTGTTAATTATTTCCCCAGCAATTATCTGTTCATCTTAAATCCTCTTATCAAAGATATTTTTGACCTATATACATTAGAGCTCTGAGCTCCTGCATAATCTTCTCATCACAGCATGCTAAATTTAATTAAACAAACATTTGTTTAGCAACTATTATGAGTATTAAGTGCAAAAGAATAGCAAGTATTTGGAGCAAATATGATTATGACAAGTTCCCTGTCCTCAAGAAGCTTTAAAACTAGTCAGATGAGCAAATATGAAAAAATGAAGTAAGCTAAAACCAAATGAAACAAATAATTCAATGAAGATACAAAGAATGTGGATGAATAAGCAATTAATTCCTGCACAAACTATGTATATTATTAATATCAATATCATCTCCTTTGTGCATTTCCCGGAACCTCAAACAAATTGCATTTATTCTCTGCTCTGGTATTTATTCCAAACTCTCTGAAGCAACTTTGTTAGACTTTCTACCAGCTTAGTCACATGTCATTCACCTCCAAGTAGACCAAAAGCTGATGCCGTCTCTGGCACAGAGACAGGTTTTTGAACACAGGGGCACCTAATCTCTATTTTTTGAGTTGAACAGAAATATACATACACACACAATGAATATCTATTGTTTGAGGAGACAATAATTATTCTTCACACTTTTTGATTCTGAAATATTTCCCCCAAGCATCCATGATTAACATGTTGAATTAGATAGTTCATTTCTCACTGGTTTCAAAACAACTGCTTCAGCTATTTTTAATAAAGAAAATTTAAAAATTATTATTCAATTTTCTGATGTAGCAGCACAAATCATTTGTGGGGGATATCTAAACAAATCATTAATGTAAGATATGCAATGTATAGTATCTATAAAATGAAATTTTAGCTGTATCTAGGCACAGGAAATATTAAATAAAGTTATAAACAAATAACAAAAACTCACTCTTGGTAAAAGTTGATAATTATAATCACTTGGTTATTAGTTTAGGCCAATATTGAAATTTATTAAAAGAAAATTCAATAATATTTATCATCTATATTAATTTAAAATAATTAAAATCTTGAAATTGGGGCCAAATCCAGAATGTGAAATGCTAAAACCAATAAGTGCATAATTTCCACTAAGGTATCCTCCTCCATGACACTGAATACAGAAGATTTTTGAGGTAAACATTTCCTTATTTAAAAACCTCGTCTGATCCTTACCAATGTAAACCTCTTCCCCAAGTCATACCTCACCCTAGGAATCCAAGGGCTGGCTGGCAGTTTCCACATTCAAAGTTCCTGGATCTCCAAACTTTACAAGTTATTTCCCTCAAGAATTTTATAAGCAAGAATGGCTGGATAAATTATTTTCCTCATTATGTGACTGTGGTGAGGCTAGAGTCCATAATAAACATGGAAGGAAGGAAGGAAGGGAGGAAGGAAGGAAGGGAAGGAAGGGAAGGAAGGAAGGAAGGAAGGAAGGAAGGAAGGAAGGAAGGAAATGAGGGAAGGAGGAGATGGATTCCATTTTATCCAATGGATTTACAATTTCAAAATCTCTAGAAATTATCCTAATGGCATTTAGCAAATAAGGAAACATTTATTAAGAAAATCTAATAGATCTTGATAAGAACAGCAAGAATCTGTGGCACTCGAGCTATGGCCCACTTTCTCACTCCATACCCATCTTAGCACAATGGAAGTTCTACTCTGGGAAGGTGCATACAGGAAGATAGGCCAAGAAGGAAGAGAGGAAGAGAGGGAGGATGTATTCTATTTTATTCATTGGAGGTGTTCTTGAAAAGTTGTCTATGTTAGTTGGTTAGGGCTGCTTTAACAAAATACCACAGACTGAGTAGCTTAAATAACAGAAATTTATTTCTTCACAATTCCGGAGAATAAAGTTCTGAGATAATGGTTTCAGCAGGATTGGTTTCTTCTGAGGTTTTTCTCCTTAGCTTACAGGTGGCCACCTCTTCTCTGTGTCTTCACATGGTCTTTTCCTCTGTACCTATCTGTGTTCTGATCTCCTTTTCTTATAAAGATACCAGTCATAGTAGATTAGGGTCCACCCCAATAACCTCATTTAACTTTAATCACCTCTTTGAAGACCCTATAATCATATACAGTCACATTCTGAGGTCTGGGAGTTAATACTTCAACATATGAATTTGCGGGGGCTGGGGGAACAGAGTGCAGATCATAGCATTGTCCAAAATTTTTTAATTAAATGTTTTATATTTATAGAAATAGTTTGACTTGTAATGGCATTTTGCGATAAGTTCTTAGTGAACAGAAAATTACCCACTGCTTTATCTTCTATGTTAGTTGGGGGTTTATATAGTATAATGAAATTGAGAGTTATGCTAAAATGGTTAAGTAACATTTCAATAACTGGAACATAATATTTTCATATTTATTAAACTTGGTACTAAAGTTATAATTTATTTTATAATTACATATCTATCCTTTCTATTCCGTTGATTTTAAGAATTAGACTTGATTTAATTCTGCAACATTAAAATCTTCTTAACTCTAGTACCAAATTAAAACTAACTTCTGTTTAAAACTGTTGGGAGTCTTTTTAAACACCCAATAGTGCAGCCCTACCAAAAGAGAGAATACAAATTGGATTCCTGGGAATGGGGTATATATAATTTTAAAATTATGAAAGAAATTAAAAAGACAAACTAGAAAATACCAACTTAATGCAAAGAAAGCAATAAAGGAGAAACAGAAGGAAAAAAAGACATATTTACAGAAAACAAAAAGTTAAATATAAGACATAAATTCAAACAAATGAGAATAATATTAAATATGAATGAATTAAACAATTCAATCAACAGACAGAGATAGTAAGATAGGATATAAAAATAAGTTCCAACTTTGTGCTTCTTCCAGGAGACACTCTTTAGAACTGAAAATACAGATGGGTTTAAAATAAAAAATGTGGGAAAGTATAGCATGCAAAGAGGAACAATAAGAGAGTTAGAGTGGCTATATAATACCAGACAAAATAGACTTTAAAACAAAAATATGTTACTGAAAATAATGTAGATAATTTTACAATGATAAATGGGTCAATTCACTAGGAAGAGATAATTAATAGAAACACATATGCACCTAACAACAGAGATTTCAAAATACATAAAGCAAAAACTGACAGATTGACGGGAGAAATAGACAATTCAACAATAATGGTTGAAATCTTCAATATGCCACTTTCGATAATAAAGAGAACAACCAGGGGGAAAAAAGAGCAAAGTAAACTTGAAGCAAGCAGAAGAAAGAAAATAATAATTAGAATACATATAAATGAAAGAAAATAGAAAAACAATAGTGAAAAATCAACAAAACCAAAAGTTACTTTTTAAAAAAGATCAACACAATTGTCAAACATTTAGTTAGACTGAGCAAGAAAAAGAAAAAAGACTCAAATTACTAGAATCAGAAATAAGAGACGTTACTATTAACCTTCCAGAAATAAAGAAGATTATCAGGAAATAGTATGAACAACAGTATGCAACAAGTTAGATAATTTAGATGAAACAAACAAACTCCTAGAAAGACATAAACTATTAAAACTGACTCAAGAATAAATAAAAATCTAATAGACTTACAACAAATAAAGAGATTAAATTAGTAATTTCAAAACTTCCCACAAGGGAAAGCCCAGGACAAGATGACTTCACTGATAAATTCTACCTCACTTTTAAATAAGAAATAATAGCAATTCTCCACAAACTCTTTCCCAAAAGTAGAATAGCAGAAAGCATTTTCTAACTCTATTCTATGGGGTCAATAATATCCTGATACTAAAACCAGACACAAATATCACAAGAAAAGAAAATTGCAGACAAATAGCTCTTATAAACACAGATGAAAAAATCCTCAACAAAATACTAGCAAACCACATCTAGACATTAAAAGGATTATTCATCATAATCAAGTGAGGTTTGTCTTGGGAATTCAAGGATACTTTAACATTAGGAAATTATTTAATATAAGGTACCCTATTAACAAAACGAACGAGAAAAGCCACATAATCATCCTAATAAACACAGAAAAAAAAATTTGACAAAATTCAACATCTTTTCATGATTAAAAAAAAACACTTAAGAAAAACACTCAAAGCTAATACACTTAATGTGAAAGAACAAATGCCTTCCTCCTAAGAACAGAAACAAGACACAGATGTCTACACTCACCACTTTTACTAAACAGTTTACTTGAAATTCTAACCAGGAAAATTGGGCAAGTGAGGTAAATAAAAAGCTTCAAGATTGGCAAGGAGGGAGTAGAAATATCTCTATCTGCAGATGACATGATTTTGTATTTAGAAAATTTTAGTAAATCCACCAGAAAATGATTCCAACTAACGTCTGAGTTAAGTAAGGTTTCAGGACACAAGATAAACATACAAAGAAAATAATTATATTTTAATAAGCAAGTAATGAACAATCTGAAAATAAAATTGAGAAAATAATTCCATTTAAATAGCATTGAAAATAATGTTTAAAAACATTTTTTTATTAATAAATTTAACAAAAGAAGCACAAAAGTTACACTCTGGAAACTACAAAACATAAAAAGAAGAATTGAAATAAAGGTAAAGATATCCTATGTTCATGAAAGGAATAAAAGAAGACCTAAATAGATGGAAAGACATCCTATGTTCATGGATTGGAAGAATTAAGACAGCCACATTCCCAAAGCTAATCTACACATGGAGTGCAATCTCTATAAAAATCTGAGCTGGCTTTTTTACAGAAATGAACAAGCTTAGCTTAAAATTCAAATGAAAATACAAGGGACACAGAACAGCCAGAGCAATCTTGAAAAAGAACAAAGTTGGCAGACTCATGCTTACTAATTTTAAAACCTACTACAAAGCTGTAATGATGTAGTACTCTTACAAGAACATAGAGGTCAATGGAATAGAACCAACAGTATGGAAATAAACCCTTAATTTATAATCTACTGATTCTGACAAGGAAGCCAAGGTAAATAAATGGGAAAAGAATGATCTTCTCAATAAATGGTGTTAGAACAACTGGATACCCACATGCAAAACAATAAAGTCACACCACATGCTTATACTACACACAAAAATTACTAACTATTGATGATAAACCTAAATGTAAGAGGTGAAACTGTGGAACTCTTCGAAAAAAAGTAGGAGTAAATTTTCATGACCTTGGGTTAGACAAAATTTCTTAAATAAAACATCAAAAGCACAAGTAGCAAAATAAAAAAGCAAAGTGGCCTTCATCTAAATAAACTTTTGTGCTTCAAGAAAGGTCAAGCATGGTGGCTCACACCTGTAATTCCAGAGTGTTGGGAGATCAAAGCAGGAGGATCACTTGAGGCCAGGAGTTCAAAGCCAGCCTGGAAAATATAACAAGACTTCATGTCTACAAAAAATGTTTTAAAAATTAGCTGAGCATGGTGGTGCATGCCAGTAGTCCAGCTACTTGGGAAACTGAGATGAGAGGATCCCTTGAGCTCAGAAGTTCAAGGCTGCAGTGGGCTATGATCATGCCACTGCACACTGCACTCCAGCCTAGGTGAAAAAATGAGACCCTGTCTCAAAAAGAAAAATAAACCATCAAGAAAATGAAAAGACAACTGACAGAAGATAATATTTGCAAACTGTATATATATACCTGATAAGGGACTTGTATTCAGAATATATAAAGAACACTTACAACTCAATAATAAAAACATGTTTTTAAATGGACAAAGATTCTAAAGGAGAAACGTAGATGGCTAACAAGCACATGAAAAGATGTTTGGCTCCATTAAACATCAGGGAAATGCAAATCAAAACCACAATGACATACCACTTCACATCCACTAAGAAGACAAAGAACACCACAAGAGTTAGCAAGGATGTGGAGAAGTCAGAAGCTTCGTACACTGCTGATGATAATATAAAATGGTGCAGCCACTTTGGAGTATAATACCATTTGACACCACAATTCTTTTAGATATATAACCAAGAGAAATGAAAACATACATCCACACAAACACTTGTCCATGAATATTCATAGCAAACAACTCAAATGTCCATCAACTGAAAAATGAAAAGACACAATGTAGTGTATTCATACATGGATTTTTATTTGGCAATGAGAAGAAATGAAGTACTGATGCATGCTACAACCTGGATGAACTCTGAAAACAAGTTTAGTGAAAGAAGCCACCAAAAAAACACATATTCTATTAGTCCATGTATTTGAAATGTACAGAATAATCAAATCGATAGAGACAGAAAGTAGATTAGTGGTTGCTTAGTGCTTGGGAGACTAAGGAATGACTGTTAATGGGTACAGGGTTTCTTTTTAGAGTGATGAAACATTCTGAAATAAGATTGTGATGATTGTGACACAATTCTATGAATACACTAAAAACCATTGAAGTGCATATTTTCAATAGATGAATTGTATGCTATGTGAATTATGTCTCTATAAATCTGTTAAAAGCATTTTTAAATCAAGTTTAAGATTGGAGTTTTAAGCCAAACTATGCTTTTAACAACTGAAAATGCCCTGAAGGTGATAGAATATCAGGAGACACTGCTATAGCAATAAAAGGAATTGTTACATAGCATCCCCTGGGTGCACTCCAGCTTTTCACCCTCACAGGCTAAGAAACTTCCTGTGCCCCAGTGTCTTCCTCTGTCAAATGAGGTTAATAAGAATATTTCTATCATAAAGTTTTTGTGATTATTAACAATATAAATACAGAAAAAATAATTAGAATAGTTCAATATATACTAATTTTTAAGGAACTAAAAAATAAGTTTCACTATAGCCCGTTTGGGGTTGCAATTGGGACAAAATTTTTAAAACTTTTTTTTTTTTTTTTGAGACGGAATCTTGCTCTGTCTCCCAGGCTGGAATGCAGTGATGTGATCTCGGCTCACTGCAACCTCTGCCTCCTGGGTTCAAGCAATTCTCCTGCCTCAGCTTCCCAAGTAGCTGGGATTACAGGTGTGCGCCACCACACCCGGCTAATTTTTGTATTTTTTAGTAGAGAAGGGTTTTCACCATATTGGCCAGGCTGGTCTCAAACTCCTGACCTCAGATGATCCACCCACCTCAGCTTCCCAAAGTGCTGGGATTACAGGCATGAGCCATCATGCCCAGGCAAATTTTTAAAACATTTTATGTTTATACCCTTCCAAGGTAAGGCTCTTTAATAATCTAGTTACAGATATAAAAGTCATGACATATAAAATTAAGCCTTAAAGTAGAGAAATATGAGACACAAAAGAAGATCAGCAAACAAGAAAAATTCTTGAAAAATTGGATCTGGACCATGTTGGAGTAGAGACAGATGTAGCTGAGGGTTTCCTGATTTCTTCACCTGGATATTAACAGCAGACACTCATTTATAACTAATTAGAATTTTCTCTACTGTTGTGCAACTAGTGACAGCAATTGTTTTAATAAGCTATATATAGTAATTCCACACCTCCTCCACAAGTGAATTCACTTATTATCAAATAATCTATTTTCATATTAGTAAAATATAAACTATTTCTTTATACTCTCACCTTCTAAAAACAATTTAGAGTTTCTTGCAAGACTACATGAATAATCACAAGATAACATGAAAGTGAGTTAAAAAAAAAACAGAAATGTAACTGTAAATACATAAATGCCAAGAAATGCAAAGGATTCAAATGTAGTTGTTCAAGGTAAAACACTATGGTCCTAATCTGTCTTTTGGTAGCTACTGGGAAGGCAGAACTTTGATTTTTCACACAAATCTGTTTCCTAGCCCTTTTACATTATCACTTAAACCAAACTCTTCTTTCAGCCATAGTATATAGGCAAGATCACAGCCCCTGAAAACATATCCCCCTGTGTGATCACTCTTCCATGATATACTAGCTATATGACCTCGGGCAAGTAACTTAACTTCTCTGAACCTATCTCTCCACCCGTAAGGTGTAGATAATGCACCTCTCCCAAAGTTCTTTCACAGAGTCGCTGAGATGATGTACATTGATTGTAGCTCCCACACCCTCACAGCCCAAAACAGCTGCTCAATACTTGCTACAACCCATCTTTCTCCCTCCTTTCTTCATTCCCTTCCTTACCTCTCCTAGCTCAATGTGGATGAAATATAAATAGATTCCCAAACACAGCCATCCCTCGTATTCATGGGAGATTGGTTCCAGAACCCCTGTGGACACTGAAATTGTGGATGCTTAAGTCTTTTATTTAAAATGGCATAGTATTTGCATACAATCTATGCACATCCTACCACAAACTTTAAATCTTCTCTAGATTACTTATAATACCTAATACAATGTAAATAGTATGTAAATAGTTGTTACATTATTTTTCTTTGTATTATTTTGTACTGTTGTGTTGTTATTCTTAATATTTTTGATCCACAGTTGCTTGAATCCTTGGATGCAGACCCCACAGATACAGAGGGCTAACTGCATTTCCATTCTTTAGATATTTTTGTTATTAAGACTGGAATAAAGGGCAGTTGGTCAAGTTATTTTTTTTATTGCCAACCTTAAAGGACAGCAAGGTAGCAGACACGCATAATGGATTTCCATTTTTGCACCAATTTTGAATGGAGTTGTATCTTCCCGAAACACTTGGAAGCCACACCCAAGCCTATCGAAAAAAAAAAATACTTTATGACTTGGTTTCCCATCTGTCAAATGGGAATAGTTATAATCAAACTTCTTGCCAAATAATATTTTTGTAAGAATCAGATGAGTTAGAAAATGTAAAATATTTAGAAAAATATAAAGAAATTGTACTGAAGGTCTTTTTTCACCTATCAATATGGTTCTTTCAGTGAGAATTCAAATTTAAAACAGTAAGTCCACCTACCCACCCCCGTAACTCCCACTCACACCTTCCCCAACCCAAGCCAAAAGGTTATCACCCCTTCTTAAATTGAATAAAGATTTTGTTTATTTTTGAGGGGAGTATGCTGTGTTAAATCAAGAGTAATAATTCATAGGCATCTCACTATTAGCATTTCTAAAATCTTCCAAGTTAGAATTACAGAATTTATTGCAGCTTTAGGCTATGCTGAAGGTATACCCACAATAATTGATGTCTCTGAAAGCGCACACAGAGAAAAAAATAATCTGAATTATTTCAAGCTGTTTCTCTTCAAATTTATGAAATATTGATAGAAAAATATAAATAGGTATTAATGCTGTTTTAGTAAATATTCGGTCTGGTGGAGACAGAGCATAATTTATCTCCAGCCTGCAGGACTAACACTAGAGTTGCCACTGATTCTGCATTAATAGCCAGAGGCATGTTTCATAAAATCTCTATGCTCCAGGTTCCTCAGGCAGGAAATGAGCGCTGAACTCTTAAGGTATCACTGTGGAGAACACAGCTTAAAGTCTTCAACTCCTATAGAGTTGCTCTGCCCACAAAACCACGAGCCCGACACTCAATCATGTTCTGTTTCCACTATTTTCCCAATGTCTGCCTATACTACTCAGGGGTTCCATTCCATTGCAAGTCTTAGATAACCCAAGTGACAGCATTTAAACACAAGTTCTGAGAGTAATTACCAGTGTTGATTTTTTGGGCGATGGATATTAGAGCCATGGTGTCTAATTCTCGTGGCTTTACTGCATGATCATGTCTTGGCTGCTAAGGCTCCAGCCATCGTATCTTTATTCTAGGCAGAAAAAGGTAAGAAAGACTGTAGAATAAAGGCATGGGGTTGTCCATTGTATCACAAAAGCAAAGACCTTCTCAGAAGTCTCAAGAAAGGCTTCCTATTCATGTTTCCTTGGTCTAAATGATATTTCATGGACACCCATAACATCTAGGCAGTCTGAAAATGTGATCTTTGCAACTTCTGTGAAAGGAGCAAGGGAAAAGAGGTTGGAATGAGTATTTAGAGAGCTATCACAATATCTGGCTCAGAAGCTCTCAATTAATATTTGACATAACAAGGTCATCAGAACTGATTTTTGCTCCATTGGAAACTGATATGGGTCAAATTTTGGGACTTCAACATAGAGTTCCCCCAAAGAAACTATAATGGTGAGCCAGTAATACAGACAATATCTCGGCAGAAAAGGTAGATGGATAGATAAATAGAAGGAAGGAAGATAGATAGATAGAATAAATAATATAGATATCCTTTATTCAATGGAATAAAAATGTTTTGTTATGAAGCTCAGGTCCCCTAAACAACTCATCCTCTCCCCACCCACCTCTCCTTCCCAAATACACAAACATACACACATATACAACAAATATACATTACATTAAGACAGGCACAGTGGCTCATGCCTGTAATCCCAGCACTTTAGAAGGCCGAGGTGGGAGGAGTACTCAAGGCTAGGAGTTCAAGACCACCCTGGTCTACATAGCAAGACTCCACTTCTATAAGAGTATAAAATAATTTTTAATAAATAGGAAAATAGAGGAAATAAAGTGAAGAAATGTTAAAGAAAGCCAACATATACACCCAAATCATTGTACACATCTGTATACTTGGGGAAAGTGTACAAAATAGATATGATAAAAACAGTTGTGAATCACACATTTCTGCTCCAGAATGGGGAAGATATTTTGCACCCACAGAAAGGGGAGAAATAAGTACCCTGTGCCAGCAGCATGAACTGTGGGTCTTGGTTGCTTTCCAACTGCCCGCTTTCCTTCTCTTTTCCCCTGTTCCAACTCACCTCTTCTCACTGAAGGGGAGAGAGATGGAGAGAGGGTCAGATAGAGAAGGTATGTGAGGGCTTAGGGCATCACTCAGACTGTGTTTGTGAGCACCAAGGCTTGCTTCTTCCACCTCTGTAGCATCTCTCAGATCACCAGATTCTATTCCCAGTGATACTTGCTGGGTTCAGGCCTGAGTCTTCTCTAGCCCTAAATCATTGCAAGGGTCACCAGTTGTTTGTTAACTGGTCTCCCTGTTCCAGTGCAGATCCACAGTTCCCAGGGTTATTTTCCCCTCATTCTTTAAGAAGCATATATATGTGTATGTATATACGTATACATATACACGTATATATGTATATATATACATATACATACATGTATATACATATATATACACGTATATATATACACACACACATATATGTGTGTGTGTGTGTGTATGTGTGCATGCACTCACGTGCACATGTGTATTAGTCTGTTTTCATGCTGCTGATAAAGGCATACCTGAGACTGGGGGAAAAAAAGAGGTTTAATGGGCTTACAGTTCCATGTGGCTGGGGAGGCCTCACAACCATGAGGCCTCCCTCATGGTGGAAGGCAAGGAGGAGCAAGTCCCATCTTACATGGATGCTGGCAGGCAAAGAGAGAGCTTGTGCAGGGAAACTCCCATTTTTAAAACCATCAGATCTTGTGAGACTTATTCACTATCATGAGAACAGCACAGGAAAGACCCACCCTCATAATCCAATCACCTCCCACCAGGTTCCTCCCATGACACATAGGAATTGTGGGAATTACAATTCAAGATGAGATTTGGGTAGGGACACAGCCAAACCATATCAGCATGTTCATATACACATGCACACATGCACACATCCATGCATGTACATCCATAGACATACATGCATGCCTGTATATATATATATATATATGTATATGTCTGTAGAATTGTTTATGTATGCACATACATTTGACTTATAAAAATCAAGTAACAACACAAGGCTTAAAATGACAAATGAACATGGCATCTCCCTCAACCCACCTCCCAATCCCAGTCCCACTTTCTAGAAGCAACCTTTTCAGACTCTTAGCTACTTTTTTAGTTATTTGCCTCCATATTACTAAGTAACATATTTCCAACATTCTTCCTTTTTTCTTTTTTTTCTTTCTTTTTTTTTTTTTTTTTTTTTTTTTTTGAAGCAGGGTCTTGCTCCGTCACCCAGGCTGGAGTGCAGTGGTGTGATCTTGGCTCACTGCAACCTCAACCTCCTGGGCTCAAGCAATCCTCCCACCTCATCCTCTCAAGTAGCTGGGAATATAGGTATGTACCACCATGCCCGACTTTTTTTTTTTAATTCTTTGTAGACATGACATTTCACTGTGTTGCCCAGGCTGGTCTTGAACTCCTGGCAAATGATCCTCCCACATCAACTTCTCAAAATGCTGGGATTACAGGTGTGAGCCACCACACTTGGCTGTTCTTTTTTAGTGTATCAATTCAGCATCATCTATTTCTGTTGTGATCTTCCTTTGGCACAATTCTGATGGCAGCATCTGTCACTACATATGGCTGTGCAAACTGAGCATTGCCAGTCACCAGGAGGTACCCTTCACTTTGGTACTTCCTGGAGACATGCAACATAGTGGCACTATCTTCCCCTTAGATGGAAGTTTTGAAAGCTGCATGTGGCCTGGGCCAGACCTGCCATACTCAGTCTCTCCAAGGCCACAATCAGTAGCCATGCACAGTTTCAAAGTAACTGCATGTGATGGCTAACTTACGTATCACCTTGACTGGGCCATGAGATGCCCAGATATCTGATAAACATTTTTTCTGGATATGTCTGTAAGAGTATTTCCATGAGAGATTGGCATTAGAATTGGTAGACTGAGTAAAGCAGATGGCCCTCCCCAGTATGGATGGGCATCATCCAATTCACTTATGGCTTGAACAGAACAAAAAGTGGAGTAAGATTGGGTGTTTTCTTTCTCTCTCTCTCTCTCTCTCTCTCTCTCTCTCTCCCCCCCCCCCCTCTCTCTCTCTCTCTCTCTCTCTCTCTCTCTCTCTCTCACTGACTGTTGAGCTGGGACATGGATCTTCTCCTGCTCTCCATTTTTCTGCTTCTCAAGCCTTTAGACTCAGACTGAAATCTATACCATCAGCCCTTCATCTCTCAGGCCTTTGAACTACACTGCCAGCTCTCCTGAGTCTCCAGCATACAGATGGCAGGTGACAAATCATAGGACTTCTCAGGCTTAATAATTGCATGAACCAATTCTTGTTTGTGTGTATGCATGCATGTGTGCATATGTGTGTGTGCATGTGCATGTGTATCTCCTATTGGTTCTGTTTCTTTGGAGAACCCTAATACATTTCACATGTCTCATGCCTGAGATGACTATAAGACATGGCCCTGGTAGGGTAGTAAGAAATTATACCAGAACTTGGATATTAGATGAGGTTGCATGCAGGTGGTACAAGAGGCTTGGAAAGTCTCTTCTCAGGACTTACCAATACCCAGTGGTCTCCACTCTCAACAGGCAAACAATCATCACTACCATACCATTAAATCACTCACAGTGAAACTGGAGGGACTCTAGAGGCTCTGCTCACCCACAGCCCACAATCTGGAAGCCATCTCCTATTCTTTGTGGAAAATTCTCCCATTTGTACTTAGTTCAGGAAGGCATAACTTGTAGAAGGGGTGTGTCAAAAGGTGAGACATCTTTAAGTACAGGAGCTACGCCTGTCTTTTTGACTGAAGCACATCTAGCTCTGAGCCAGGGCTTGGTGGATATGAAGGGACTGGGCATGCATTCCATGAAGAAGTCATGAAAGTTTGTTTTCTGCCTCTATCTCTTTAGCAAGAGCCTTGTCTATTCCCTGAGAGGCTATATCCACTTCCAGGAGGCAAGACAAGAATCTAGGGGTACACAGAGCTCCTTTCCCTCCCTCCCTCCCTCCCTTCTTCCCTTCCTCCTTTCCTTCCTACCTTCCTTCTTTCCTTCCTCCCTTCTTCCTTTCTTTCTTCTTTCTTTCTTTTCTTCTTACTTTCTTTCAAGTTTATGCTTGAGCACCCATGAACATTGTCTGTGAACTGGGCCTGATCTGAGGTTTAAAATATGGGATACTCTGATTTAAGCAAATAAGAAAAACCCCTAGCAATCCAAATACACAAGGCAGGATCTAGTCTGTATAAAATAATTAAAATATAGACTACTTTTTACCCATAAAATAAATCCTAGTGGGTTACAATTTTGAGGCAGCTACAATCTCCTCCATGAGAGAAGGTTCTTTCTCTTTCCAAGAGGTAACTCATTGCTGTAAGAACTCTGGTCACAAACATAACGTCAGCAATGTCTCCAGTTAGGAGGATGTTAGTTAGGTCATAAAGGTAGTAGTGACAGGAGGTACATAACAGAGAAAGATAGTACATCTATCTTCAAGCACAGATCAAGGAATTGGTGCCCATATGGCTAGATTTGAAAGAAAATATATGTATATGATCTGGTTAAATTTATCCTTCCTGGCCGGGTGCAGTGGCTCATACCTGTAATCCCAGCACTTTGGGAGGTCAAGGCCAGTGTATCACTTAACATCAGGAGTTCAAGACCAGCCTGGACAACATAATGAAATTCTGTCTCTATCAAAAATACAAAATGTAGCTGGGTATGGTGGCCCACGCCTGTAATCCCAGCTACTCAGGAGGCTGAGGCAGGAGAATCACTTAAACCTGGGAGGCAGAGGTTGCAGTGAGCCGAGATCACACCACTGCACTCCAGCCTGGGTGACAGAGTGAGACTCTTTCATAAACAAATAAATAAATAACTCCTTATTCTCGTGCTCTGAAATTTCACCATTAGACATTTAGTTCTTTGCTATTCATATTGCTCACTCCCTGCATTAAACATGTAGATATTTCTGAAAGAATTAACATATTCGATGGCTATGAAAACATAAGTACACAAGAGATAGAAATAGGAGGTAAAGTACAACAAAGGCCCATCCTCAAAAGTTTACCCTAGGGTGTTTTTTAATTATGTTTCATTTTTTGCAAATGAAACATAATTAAAATAGAGATCTAGTAAAGGCTTCCATCAAATATTTTTAAAAATGAGCATTCACAATGATATTTGATTAGCATTTTCATTACCAAGTTTCCTTTATCCTTGTCTATAAATGTCAGCCTATAAGCTGGGCCTGTTTGGTTTTGCTTTCCTTCATAGCTTCATATTTTAAGCCTAGAAAATCTGGCCATTAGAAATTTATTTTTAAATGGATTAAGTGCTCTCCCAGGAGCAATCTTTAAACTTTTCTATCTATATTTTGATAAAACTTCACATGAAGTCAATAACAAATTAGAACATAAATATTTAAGCAGCTCAAAGATAAAATGAGAGCTTCTCTCTTTCTCTCTTTTTAATGTTGCTGGTAATGTGCCAAATAGAGAGGAATTAAGGGTCTTGGGGAATATGTCAAAAGCCTTTGCTTGTGCAAACAAGAAAAACGAAGCAAAAGGTCACTAAACTGAGAGAGAAGTGGGTGTCACCTTGAAGTTGATTTCATTCACTTTAGGAATCTCTAATACTCTCAAACAACTTCTCTCCATCTTCTTTCTAGAAGTCTTTAATGCAGGAGGAAAAGCACTAATAATTTTTCCATGGGCCTTCTGCCCTTAATGAAGGCATGCTATTAGCACTCTGCTACTTTTTTTTTAATGTACAGGAAATTTTATTCATTTTCAAAGGACGTAAAGAAGAAAAGGGCACTTCGTTTCTAAAGCAATCAGAGGAAATGAGGAGCAGAGTATCCCCCATTAAAAGAAACAAATAATTGGTGAAATAAAAATGAACCGACATGCTAATATATGCAAAGACAATTTCAGAAAGTGATGAACTTAAACAGATAAACCCTAGCATAAGCCACCCATTTGCTAAGAGTCACTCTGAAAAGACTTTACTAAGATCACTTGTGCATGGAGACGGTCTATCAAGGAATAAATCTTGTCTATTCCATATGCCGAAATAAGACCTCATGCCAGGGAGGATTTTTCTCAGGCTTTCATGGTAATTTTAGATATTTGATTGTAAATCAGAATGTTTGTTCTACCTAATGAACAAAAATGCTGGATTAGTCATAGCTAGTATTAAAAGTTGTTTTTGTTTACAGCATGGTTGAGATTTTAATGTTCTCTGAGTACCCAAAGAACAGTCTCAAATGTCATATTTGTCTGACACACAAATAGTTCCCCCTTTAAGTGAGCTAGAAACTAACAAATTAAGTCTCTACCTGCTTTTGACTAACAGGAGCATCTACACACTGTGCTTTCCTTAATAAGCAGGTATAAGGGGCAGTCTGGGAGGCAGTGGTTTGCTCTGATTTGCTTCCATTTCATTAAGGATGAAAGAAGGCATTTGGTGTCGTGCCATTGAAGGTGTACTTCCAGGGGTAACTTAACATTGTTTTCATCTAGCCTAAGTGTAATACCACAAGGGATATTGAAGGGGGAGCCCTGCCAATCCCTTCAATCCATGTCCACAGGAAGGCATGACTAGAATTCATTTATTCATTCACTCACTCATTCAACAAATGTAATTTAAACACATGCCAGGCACTGGGTTTGAAGGTGCAGAGGTAACGATGAGCTAGAGAAACACATTCCCTTACCACTTGCTCCCCACACATATCTGGGCTTACACTATCCCATTGCATGAAACTTGAGCAAAAATGAACACGAAGGCAACAGTTTTTCTATCCAACTGACAGTTATTAGCAAAGGAGGGAGCTAGTATCTTCCTCACAGAAATCAGAGTGAGGCACTACTGGAAGTTTCGAAATAAGATTAGAAAGAAAGACCTTACTTGGCTTATTTCAGTGGTAAAGTCAAGACTAGAACTCAGACTTTCTACACCTCCCCACGGGGCCTCCTTCCCCATCCAAGTTTGCTTCAGAGAAAGAGGTCTAATTTTTTTAATGATGGCTGCGCAGCTTACATCATGATGTAGTTAATGATAAAAGCAAGACTTCAATGCACGCATACTTTAAATAACACATGAGACTTATCACTGATGATATCTTTAATTATACCAAGGCAAAACTGGAGACCATCTAAGGGGAAATACAGATTACTTGTTAAAATTATTAACAGAGTTAATATGCTTACATTTGTTTATGTGTACTGGAATCAGCTCAAATATTTGACTGCAATGATAATAAGTGTAAAGATCAATTAAAAGTCATAGAGATGAGATATTAGATTTCCAGACCTTAATAGGATTTCATCTGCACTTGCTGTATTATGTTATACAATTATAATTGAGCTTCCGTCAAATCACAGAATCTGTCACCTCACCAATTTATTTTCCAAGCACTAATGAAACTTATTTCCTGTTGAAAATGCTTTTAAAAGCATAACCCTAAGGAAGGGAGGTGCACATGGGCCAACTGGCTTCTATTTACTTAGCAAACTTAAGTAAAAACTTGGACATAAGTAAAATGAATTTGACAGCTTTAGGAGGGTCCTTAGTAGCCATTTGTTCTTATTATAAAGAGCATGTAAGTGCTCTCAAAAGGAATTGTAAACAACACATATAACTCACGCTCACTTTGAGCCACACATCAGATTAATTCTCTGCCTGTTTATTGTTAGGTAGTCTAGCTAGAGGCAGGATTGATATAATATTTTCCTTTGAATTTTTCTTATTTTTTCCCCAAATTGTAATCATGCATTGAATTATAAAACAAATTTCTCTGAAAAAAAAAAAACATAGTGAGGTAGCTTTCACTTGTTAAAATGTGAATTCTCATTCCACTTTTTTTTTAGAAAAGTAAAAACAATATCTAGAGACTGTGGGGTAATGCAGGATAAGATGGCAAATTCCAGAATGACAGAAGCAATGATACTCTTCGGAAACACTCTCAAAGCTCCTATAATAATAATCTTATGCACTTCATACTGGCTTGGGATAGTATAGCCACGAATGAGAAATGGATGCTTGGCCTGGGGAGTAAGGAACAGAATTCCTTAGAATCCTTTATTTATGGACAATCCCAAGGGATCCTAGAGATTCTGTGACTTGGCCCTCAACAGGAAACCCCTACATCACAGATACATGGCTAGATCCGCTTGAACATATCCACAAGTAAGGAGCTCACCTTATTAAAACAGTTGCCAGACAACTGTCAGAAGTTATTTGGGCCTTGCTGATGTCTGCCTCCTTGTATAATAATTTTAATCCTACTATCTGAAGCCATGCATTCACTTCTGTTCAGTCTAGAAGCACCCCTCTGTGCCCGACAGAAACATTGAATAGGTGGAGCTCAGCTGCTCTCCTAACTCTTTCTCACCTCGAGGTTGTGGTGGAGAATAATTGGGCTGATAAACAGTCCCAGGCCTCTTCAAACTCCACAATGCAAGGCATGTATTTCACAGAATGTCATTACTTACTATATTTTGTCAACATAATGTTTTAATTGTTGTACTCTTAGCTGGTCACTCTTTCAAATGGAGACAATAAAACTAATCAAAACATTTTAACAGCTATACTGCACTAAATATTTGAAAATCTCTCTCATGTTTTCCCTTCCCTCTACCTCTTCAGACTAAATGTGCTCAATTTTCTTAATGCTCCACCTAAAGAGTGTTTCCTGAGGGATATCAGTCACCCGTCCCATCAAATTATCACTGAATCTTGTTGACCATCCCTCCTAAATATCTCTTCATCCCATAGGCCTACCCTGGTCCAGGCCACAGCCATCTGCCATCTGGTGACTGCAGAAACTTCCTTATGCCTCTCTCTGCCTCCATCCTTGCTGCCTTCCAATTATTATTGTAGACTGTCACCAGAGTGGTCTTTCCAAAATATGAACCTCACCATGCCACACCCGTGCTGAAAACCCTTAATAGCTCCCTGTTGCTCTGAGCATGAAGTTCAAACCCTTTATCACCTCTACCATAAACTCTTTACAATCTCATCTCTCCTTAACTTCTCCCTTCTTGCCTCTCTCCAGTCACCTCTTTGGAAATATTAAACCTTAGGCATAGACCATGTCTCTCAGTTTCTACAATAAACCACTCTCTATCTTGCCTCTAGGCCTTTGCGCATACTATTTCCTGTGCCTGAAACATTGTCTCCTAAGGCTTTACCCACAAGCCCATCACCTGGCTAGCACACACTTCCAGTCTCAATTTAGATGGCACGTCCTCAAGGTCATCTTCCTGACCCTTAGGACGCCCAGCCCTGCACTCCAAGACACATCCTGCATTTCCCCAGGCCTTGTGCTTATCACACATATTTGTCAATTACGTATTATGCTCCTCTCTTCCTCACTAGAACATTAGTTTTCCAAAGGCAAAAGGCATGTCATCTTGTTTACTGTTGAACATTCAGAGCTTAGCATGATGCCTGACATAGAGCACATACTCTGTAAATAACTTTGGAGGAAAAAAGGAGGGAGGAATACAGGGAGAAAAATGGAGAGAAGGGGAAATGCCATCTGCCGGTCGAAACCTTACCCACAGCTAAGCACAGTATTCTACCTAGGATCCACTAAGAAAAGTGAGAAAGGGAGGCCAGGCAGTTATCTGGGTCTGAGGGAGCTTTTCCCAGAAGACACAAAGTTCTAAGGAAGTTTAAGTCATTTATCTTACAAGTATTTATTAGGCATTATGTTATTTTAAAATTTTCATATCATCCCAGCACTTTGCAAGGCCAAGACAGGCAAATCACTTGAGGTCAGGAGTTCGATATCAGTCTGGCTAACATGGTGAAACACCATCTCTACTAAAAATACAAAAATTAGCTGGGCTTTGTGGCGGGCACCTGTAATCCTAGCTACTCAGGAGGCTGAGGCAGGAGAATTGCTTGAACCTAGGAGGCAGAAGTTGCAGTGAGCCAAGATTGCACCACTGCACTCCAGCCTGGGTGACAGAGTGAGACTATCTCAAACAAACAAACAAAAAAATCCTATCATAAATACAGTTTAGAATGGTGGATTAAAACTAATTATAGAGCTAGAATGCCTACGTTCTAATCACATTTCCAGCACGTAATGTGTGAGGTAAGGCATGTTATTTAACTTTTCTGGGTCTCGTTTTTCTCATCTGTAAAATGGCAGTTATAGTAAGGACACTTCAGTAGTTGTGATATGTAAAGCCCTTAGAACTGGGCCTGCCTCATAGTAAGCGCTTTCCTCCCTTCATGTCCAGACACCAAGGAAAGGCCACATGAGCACACAGGATGAAGGTGGCCGTGAACAATGTGGGAAGAAGGCCCTTGCCGGACACCTAATCTACCAGCACCTTTATCTTGGACTTCCCAGCCTCCAGAACTGTGAGACACAAATGTCTGTTGTTTAACCCACCTACCCTAGGGTATTTTGTTATGGCAGCCCAAGTGATAGTCATGAGCTGCTCTGCCTCCGTTTCTGGGTCTGTGAAATGGTACTAGCAGTGGCTGTCTCTCAAGATGATTGTGAGAGTTGAGCCCAGTATGTCATCTGTGTCATGACTTGGAGGGGAAGGTGCATGGAATAGAAGCTGGAGCCACTTACTGGTGCTAGAGTCCTGGGCAGCTCCAGTTTGAGACTGAGTTTCTTCATTTATAAAATGAGAACAATAACCCCTGCTGATCCTGTCTCTAAAAATTGTCCCAAGGAAACAATGAGACAGTACTAGTGACTCAAATGACATTTTATATTTGTTTAAAAAAATAATAAAAACAGAGGCCACAATTTTGATATCCGAAGGCCAACCACTAATGGCCATGTAGCCAAAACTTCAGTCATCGTGATTTCCCAAAAACACTAGTTTTAATTAGAAGCAAAACACAAAATGAGAGCTTTTTATCCTTGTTGGCATAATTCAGTGAAATTAAACCAATCACCTATGGACAAATGAGCTTAAACTGCTCTATTTGCCTTCAAAAGAACGTTAATGTATAAGAACGAATCACAAAGAAGTCCAAAATACTTCCTCCTTTATGCTTTATAGGCTGTGCTGTAACTACTGTAAGCCAGGCTTCTTACCACTTTTTGTTCAAAGTCTCCCAGTTCTTAAACTGTTTGTTTGTATGCATAACAAACTTTTAAAAATTTTAACTTGATTTGATTTCACTTTTGGCATATTAAATAAATATATAAATATAACATTATAACAATGTCAGAAATTTTATAATATAAATTATATATACATTTAAGAATACAATAGTATTAATGACAAATGTAATTTAGTGAGCACAGACCATATAAAAAGCACTATATTTGCTATTTTAGGTTTGTGATACTGCTTCTTAAAAGAGAACATCTAGTGTTTATTGAGGTCTCTTGTTGGCTGGGCTCTGTGGGAGGTGCTCTCTTGCTCTAAAAATAAACCCTGGAGAGCTCTCCTGTGTCGTCGTCTTCTTCTTCTTAGAAGGACACTCACTAATCCCACCATGAGGGTCCCACTGTTGTGATCTAATCTAAACCTAATTACTTCCCAAAAAATTTACCCCCAACACTGTCACCTTAGGGGTCAAGGCTTCAATATATGAGTTTTAGGAGACACATACATTCAGTTCATAACAACAGCTTTGCCCAACATTGCCTTGCAGGCCAACTGCAATGCTTGTGCTCTCAACACACTCACTTCACCAGTCGTCCCAAGAGCCAGCTGAGCATCAGACTTCCTTAGGAAGCACAGGGAGCTTCTCAACTCTCGAGACTCCAATTTAGATCTAAAATGTGATCCAGAAATCCAGTTTTACAAAGCTCCTCAGTAACCGTGAGTCAGTGATTAGGAACCACTGAACACCCACTTCAATGTGATGGGCCTGCTTCTGTAGGACCCTAAGCATCCAAAGGATAGAAGGCAGGGATCAGGGCCACACCAAAGACAAATTCTGCTCTCCTCACCATTTTTCCCAGGGCTGACTCAGCTATTTCCTACACCTTTATTGAACTCCAATTCTTTAGAGTTGAATTGTCAGCAAAAATTCAAGTGTTATCTATTGAATTTCAGCAGAGCTCAATTCCCCTGACATGTACTGTTTGTTTAGTTTATTCATCTCTCTTTTAATCTGTTAGTGAAAACATTGTTTAAAAAGGAACATTGCTGATCACTGAGGGTGCTATTTGCTTTAAAGTTTTCCCTCCAAGCTATGGATACGGGTATGCTTTGGCGTTGTTGAAAACATCACAATGTGCACAATTCTTGGGGAGGGGGAGAATACCTGTTACCATATTTCTATGCTGCACTTAAAATGCTGGAGTGGTAGTGGATACATTGTCACAGAAATTGCTCTCCGGCCTCCAGTGACTTGCATGGAATACGGACAGATGAGGACTACAAGCGTTAGTAACACCATGGTTACAACTGTAGTTTAAACCCATGAACCACAAATGCATGACTGACCAGAATTAAAAAAGATCTGAGCATTACATCCTCCTAAGTGGATTCCTCCATAGAATAATGTTGGAGAAGAGTCTAGCCCCGAGTACTTAACTTTGCAATTCAAAAGAGTTGTGACTTAGCTTCCCTTATATAACATGGGCAGCTTTTCATTATGTTTATTTGATGCAGTGTTATTGAGGCAATATTTCATATGAATAATTCATTTCTACTCCAACTTTATCTAGCAAAGTCAAAAGCAAAATCCTAAATTTTGAAATAGATCAAAGAGTTTTTTAAATGAAATGGAAATGCCTTGGGTTGCCCTCTCTCTGAATCTCCCTGTCTTGTCTATGCATTAAGCAAGCACTTACTATGGGCGGCTGGATACTGAAGTTATTAAACGTTCACAGCTCTCCCTGAATTTTCTTTGGAGAAGATGAATCTTAATGCCCCAGTTTTGCACTGTTTCCTCTTGTTCTTATCCAGAAATTGGGTTCTATGAGAGCAAATTACATCTAAGTAATTTGTTTTTTACATATTTTTAACTTTGGTTGTGCGTGCCTGACTTTCTGAGATCGTCACAGCCCTGATTACCTTCTGTTCCACTGGGCAGTCTGATGAACACAGCAGGCAAGCTGTGGTGAATAAAATAGAGCAATTACATTTGGATGCTGAAGACTGCCAGCTGCCTGGGGATGCCTCACCACAGCCTCTCCATTGTGGTTATCCTCCTTTCAGATCTTACCAAGTCATGCAAGAAAGTCGCCCTTCAAAATGATTGACATCCAAAGAACTGCCTTGGCTTTATTCAGACACAGGAGATGCAAACAAGAGTGGAGCAGAGAGAAAAATTAAACATGGGAGAAAAAAAAGAAAGTATTCAGAATCACTGAATCATACTTAAGCATACTTTTTCATAAAAATAATTTTAGGCCAATGGGAGAAAAATAAAAATAACTAAAAGATCATTAAAGCCTTCAAAGAAAGCTCACTTCATACATGACTGTGTTGGAAAGAACCTCAGGGGCAATAATTTGGCCATTTCACTGCTTCTGAGAGGGAGATCATCTTTTCTGGCTGGGGTAGGTAGACATTTGGAGAATATAGAGACAAGAGTACCAATGCAGGAGTCAGTAAAATCTAGCTTCAGTTTCTACCTGGGCCACTTACTAAGTAGGGGACTGCTGTGGTTTAGATATAGTTTCTTTGTCCTATCAAAATTTATATTAAAATTTGATCCCTAGTGTTGGGAGATGGGGCCTAGTGGGGAGGTGTTTGGGCCATTCGGACAGATCCCTCATGAATGGCTTGGTGCTGTTCTCATGGTAGTGAGAGCTCTGGCTCTGAGGAAACTGGATTAGTTCCATCAGGAATAAATTAGTATCCATGAGAGTGGGTGATTATAAAGCCAGGATGCCCCTTGGGTTTTACCTCTTTCCACCATGTGTCCACTTCTGGTTTGACCTTCTCTGCTGTGTTATGACGCAGCATAAAAGCACTCGCCAAATGCCAGGGCCATGCCCTTGAACTTTCCAGCCTGCCTGCAGAACCATGACCTAAGTAAACCTCTCTTCTTTATAAATTACCCAGTCTCAGGTATTCTGTTATGGCAACACAAAATAAACTAAGACAAGTGGCTGGGGCAACTTGGTATGCATTTCTGGATCTCTATATTAGGAGAATAATGCTATGCACTTTATAAGATGTTGGAAAAATGTAAATATGTTTAAGTGTCTAGTACATAGTAGGAAATGGTAACTCTTATTCAGTAGCCTTGATTATTAAGAGTTTACTCTTCAGAATTATGTTAAGATGTTCTAGTATGCTCTACTGTTGCCTAGTCAACACTGCATGTTGAAGATGAATGAAAATACCCACTCCAAAAACATATTCCTTTAGCTGGTTGATTTGTGAAGTAAACATTCCTTAGTTGTCCAACATATAGGCAGAGCCTGGTTCCATGATGGTGGCTTGAAATAACTTATACTAATTTCCCACAGTCCCTTTCAGCTAAGCATAAACATAAGTTGTTAGAGACTTCCTGGGAGAAATTTTTCCTGATAAATTAGAGAGAAATGTGAGGAGAAAACTCTTTTCTACTCTCTCTCCTTTCTGTCATATAAGGATATCCTTCAAGCTGCTGCAGCCATCTTAAATCTTGAGGAAAAGCCAAAACAGATTCTGACTTTGCTCACTAACATTGCTGAGCCACTGAACTAACCCTGCAGTGACCTAGTGCCAGCTTCTTGTCATGTGAGACAATGAAGTGCTTTTACTATTTAAACCATTCATTATTTATAACTGAACAAGCACAGCCCTTGTTTCTTTGTCTTCCCAGAACATCGAGAGACTCTTTCCATTTTGTACTTGAGTAGCTGAGCAGGCATATTCAGGTATTATTCAACAGAGGTTCATTTTTATGAATAACACTAATTCATTTTCAGAGAAGTTGGGTAGATCATCCAATGTCACAACCATGAAGTGGCAGAAAGGGGAACCTAGGCCAGTCTGCCTCCAAGGCCCATCTCTCCAGCACACTACAACTACACAAATAGCTATTAGCCGGTCTGATAGGAAAGATTTTAAGTTAGTGAATGTGATTTTCTATCTTTCCTTTCAGTTTATATACTGAGCTGTGTAACTGCACATCTCCACACTTTGACCTCCCTGAGCAACCTCATGTTCTGAACCTTTCTCTTCTTTTTCCTCCTTCCCATCAAAATGTGCCTTTTCTGGATTCCACTTTCTGAGGAAGCCAATACACTTTATAAGGTTAAAACTAGATGATTAAGGGAATTATTTTAATGGGATCCTAGGTGGAGAAGGGAATTATTTTAATGGGATCCTAGGTAGAGAATGCCTTCAATGTAAGTTCTCAATACTCTAGTGGGCCAGAAGAGGAGATGGTCCTTTCCTATCACAGGGTCAGATACTTCCTCATGCACAAAGGTCTGGTTCTTCCATAAAAGCTAGCTGAGATTTGGAGCATGACTAGAATTCATTTATTACTTAAGCAGGTGCTTATTAAGTGCCTCACTTACTATACCAGCAATATTCTAGATGCTAGGGATATAGCACTAAATAAAGCACACAAATTTCCTCCTTTCATGAAATTTAAATTCTAGTTGGGGGGAGATAATTAACAAATAAATATCTAGTATTCAAGTGGTAAAAATGTTATAAAGAAAAATGAAGTCAGGTAAAGAGGATAGATTGGTGGAAGTGGGCTGTCTCATCAAGAGTGATCAGGGTACACTATATAAGGAACAGGAGTAAATGTTAACAGCATGACAATAGAAAAGTCATGGGATAAGAAAAGTCAATGGGAAAGGAGAGACAAAGGAAACTATAAAAAGGCTAATACTCTCTTCTTACAAAGTGGGAAATCAAGAAATGCTGCTAAAACTGAACCGAACAAAAAAGAGAACTTTACCACATTACTTAAAGTTCTAAAGTAGAAAATGAAATCTTGAGAGAAAAAAGCATAGGAGAAGGAACACTGTAAAAGACTAAATCTTCTTTTTCATTTCTAGGAGTCAGTAGAAACTGTGAAATTGGCAAAATAGGTTTTATCTCACATATTCATTTTCACTGATCATTGGTGGCTGCCTGGGGCCCTCCTGAGTAGAACTTCGTATACAAGGCCCAACTCATTGATACACTGTGCTGTGATCAGTTAGAGCTGTCTGCCCAGATGCAGAAAGGATCAACGACACCATATATGTCATCTCCACTTGAAGCAACACTGGGTCATCTGCGTACGGGATGACAGAGGGTGAAGAGAAAGCATTAGCAGCAGTAAGAATGGGATATATCAGATTATAGAGAAACACAATGGTAAGGGGCTTAGTAATACAATAAATTCCTATGTGAGGCTTTTTGTTTAAATTGACAACACTCCGAAATATACAAAGGAGATAAGCTGTAGAGAAGACTGACCAAAAAAGAGAGGTTTATATCTGTACTGTGTAAGAGTTGGGTGTCTTAGTTTTTGAATCCTGCCTTTCCCAAGTCTTACAGAAAAATTTAAGCAACAGAGTTTTGAAGACAAGTGCCTCCCTTGGCTGGATTGTATCCAGTGATTCATTTAAAGTCAGTGAAATGTATTTTGGGTATTGGAAACCTTCGATGGAAAAAACTTACCATTGCTCTAATAAAGCCCTCCCTGCTGCACCAATTACCTAAACAGAGGAAGCCGAGATAGCACGGTCCCAGCTGTACCATCACGCCAAATCCTGGGAACACAAGCAAAGCTTGAAGTCTTATCTCTACTTAAATCACGTGGAGTCTGGTGACTTTGCTGGCCTCCTGCTCAGCTGCAAACCATGTGAAACCCTGAGCAGGCTCCCTTGGTGGCTAATGTCTCTAATAAAAACACAACCCCCAGCCTGTGTCAGTGCTCCCAAGGACTGGCATTAAATAAACAGGATAGGAACCCTCGTGGTTATCAGAAGGGCACAGTTAGAGAGCTGTCTGCTCACTAAATGAAGCAAGAATAAAGCTTCATATTCTTCCGGCACCCTAAGTACTTCCTCACCTTTTCATGAAGCAGTATCCAAAGAGGTAACTATTGCAAAGAGCCCTACGGTAGAGTTCTCATTCACATCCCAGCTCTGAAACCTTTATGCATTCGTCCAACCAATATTCAGCCTAACCCTGGGCTGAATGATGAATGACCCAGTCACCCCCACCCCTGTACACCAGGCTCCACCAGTAGCCAGAGCACTGCCCTCTGCAGTGTCAATTCCAACAAGCATGGATTGTTTCTGAAGTGCCAGACAGGTTTCCCTGCCCTAAGGATTTCATTGCACATGCAGGACGATCAGAGGATCTTCGACCCCAACCACCTCTCCCACTTGGTCCAGGAATCCTAAATTGGAGACTCATTCCTTAGGTTCCTTATTAAACGCCCCTTTAAAAATGGCTCAGCACAGTTATCAGCCATTAACACCTTAGCATGACATGTTTCCAGATGAGAGCCTACTGTGTGCCAAGGGCTATAGTAGGTGACTTATTTAGACTCTATAATCCTCAAAAACATTATAGTAAGGTCTAATCATTTAATATAAATATATACACATGCACATACACGCACATTTTTTGAGGACCTACTATGTACAGGACATTGTACTCAGCTGCTGAGCAGGTGAAGAATGGTTTGGTATGCAGTAAGGGGAAACCATGTACAGTCCTGAGCACCATCTAGTAATAGTGATAAGATGCATACATTAAGCAAATATAACATACAGTGAATGTATTGCCATGACCAAGGCACAAAGTACTATGTGTGGGATTTAGATGTGCTACAGAAAGAACAGGAAGGGTATTCCAGGCTGGGACCTAGCCATTCATTCTCCATGTATTTATTCAGCACAGACTCACTCATACTAGAAACTGTGCTGGACCAAAGAGTTTAAGCTGAGAAAGAACAGGATATGTGTAGGATATGTGTGCAGGTGAGGGGTAAAAAGAGAGAGAGAGAGAGGGCATGTGTAGAGATTGGTAAGTAATTCTATCAGGATGGGAAGCATAAAAGGGAGAAGTGGGATACAAAATTAAAAAGATCAAGTGGAATCAGATCGTGAAAGGTTTTGTATGTTATATTAGACACTTTAGAGCTTATTCTACAGTCAATAAGGAGCCATAGAAGGTTTAGAGCTGGAAATTGATGTAATAAGGGCTCTGCTTTATAAAGACTAACTTGACAATATATGGAAGAAAGTAACTAAAGATAAATATGGTAGGAGACCATCAAGGAAATTACTGGGTGCCCTAAAAGGGATAAGGGCATGAGCTCTTATCAGTGGAAACACAGGAAACAGAGAGAGAAGGGTAAATGCTGGCACCACTGGGTTCTGAAATTGGCAACATGAGCAATAAGCCCAAGTTCTGGGTCATATTCCTACCAAGTAGACTGTACAGGGCCTGGCATAGAGTAGCCCCAGAATAAATGTCAGAGTGTAAATAAATGGATGAATGCAGGACAGGGAGGAATGAAAGATGACTGATGTTTGGGGCTAGATGTCTGTGAATGTTTTGGGAACAGGTTTGAGAAAACAAACCATCATGGGTCAATGCCATTGACTGAGAAAGATGGGAGATAAGAAAATATCTAGATCTAGATCACAGAGCTTGTGAAAACACACAAGGGGACTGTGACTTTAACAAGAGAAGGCAGTAAAGGAGAAGAGCAAGGAGCTGTTGCTCAGCTGCCTCCTAGAAAAGGGTGTACAGAGTTGAGAGCCGGTGGTTTTGGGGAGTACCTGACCCCCTGAGGACTATCAGGTACAAAGGAGGTTGATAATCACTGCATCAGGACAAGTGCTGGCATGAGGCACTGGTTACAAAGATGGATTTTGCAGTCAGAGAAAATTCAGACAAGCCTGTACAGGAATTCTGATTATGCCACTTACTAATCAGGTCACACTATTAGAACATTTGGGGCCTTGATTTGCTCACCATTAAATAGAGATAATATTACCAAATAGAGTTCTTTAGAGGCTGGATGAGACGACATATGTCCACCAAAAACTCACTCTCCCCCAAAACTTGCACAGTGTGAGTTGTTACTGGGAGGAAACTGCTCAGCCAGACACTGTATTCCCCAGTCCCCTTTGAGGTCAGGTATGACCACATTTTGAGTCTCAGGAGAAGCTGATATTTTTAAGGAGCAGGAGAACCTTCTCCACACACTTTTCCCCAATCACCTGACTGTATGCAGAGGCATCTGGGGACCTGGGGGAGAGTGGGGCAGCACCACAGACAAAGCCTGAGTTGCAAACCATCCTGCAGAAGAAAGCCAGCCTCAGATCACAGCTCTGGCATCAGACAGTCATGTGAACAAGAAATAAGCCTCTATGGGGTCAAACCACTGTAATTTTGTGATTTGTTACGGCAGGAGGGCTCATGCTAACAAATGCAGCAAGGATTACAACTTAAATCAAAGCATCTAGCTCTCTATCTCCTCCTGGTAAGTACTCAATAAACGTTAGCCAGAAGGAAAAAGAAAGAAGAAAGAAATAGAACTTGTGATTATGAGCAGAGACCCTGGCTCACAGCCTTCCAGGGAGCTCTAAGATCCAGGACATCCAGCTCTTCTTTCTTTCCTTTGACACCTGAGACATATGAGATGTATTTTCTCATCTAAAGACAGGAACATTATTTACAGAAATAAATGAGTGAATGACTCACTGTATGTGAGAGAGTTCATGGGCCTCCTGAACCCTATCTTTGTACAACCTGTGCATGTGCATATGTGTGCATGTGTGCGGGCACACACACACACACACACACACATGCTCACTCATCTCATCACCCCATTCCCAATCCAGGTAAAGAATCTTTGGCTTGGCATTTGGAGCTGCTGACAATCTCCTATATCCAGCCCTAGAGTTGACCATCCAGGCCTCTTCCCTGTGGTAGGTAGAATAATGGCCCTCAAAAGATGTCCATATCCCAGTCCCCAGAATCTGAGAATATGTTGCCTTATGTAGTAAAAGGGACTTTGCAGGCATGATTAAGTTAAGGATTATCCTGGATTAGCCAGGTGGGCCCAATGTCATCACAGTGTCCTTATAAGTAAAAGTAGGAAGGAGGTGGGTCAGAGTGAGAGGAGATGCAATGATGGAAGCAAAGATCAGAGAATCAGAAAGAGATTGGAAGATGCTATGCTTCAGCTTTGAAGATGGAGGAAAAAGCCAATAGCCAAAGAATGAAGGTGGCCTCTAGAAGCTGGAAAAGGTAAGGAAATCAATTTTCTCCTAGAGCTTCCAAAAGGAACAAGCCCTGATGACAGCTTGACTTTAGATCCACAAGACTGATTTGAGACTTCTGAACTCTAGAAATGTAA